>NC_000010.11:12737272-12888787 GCF_000001405.40 Homo sapiens
AGCAGCCTCTTGACAGTTTCCATACCCCCATTATTTCCCCTAACCTGTGCTTCATACCAGAAGGATCATCCTAGACAGAAATTGAACATGGGATATTTCTGCCCAAAGTGCTGTGTCTCTGTCATCATTAGAATGAACTTCCTAGTCAGGCCCCTTCCTGACCACCCCGGGCTGCACTGCCCAGTGACACAGGCTGTCTCGTATTCCCCAGACCCCTGCCCTCTTTCCTCCGAGCTTTGGAGTCTGCTGTCCTCTCAACTTGCAAAGTCCCACCCCACTTTCCCCAGGTCCCAGCTGAAACCTTCCTTGGCCTCGCCTCTTACTTCTGCCTGTGACCTTACCCACTGCTCTGCCATCCCTTCCCTTTAACACTTCTGTTCTTGGCATTGTGTATTGGAAATGTTCATTTGTATCGTTGAAAATTATCAATAATTGTGATATGACCAAATCCTAGATTCTACAGCACTTTACTCACTTTGGGGTAAAGGGGACGTGAGCTACAAGATAAACACAAGTAAATATAAAATACTATTAAGAATGCCTGTTGTAGCACCTAAAATAAACATGAGTTTATTGAACTCATATTCCAGTTGTATAATATGAGACTCCTATACCATACATCAAAATAAATTCTAGATGGATTAAAGAATAACTAGTCATAAATTCACAAAATGTATAATAAGGTAATAAAATCTTAAAATAATATACTCAGTGTAAAATCAAAAATTAAATCACAAGGTCTTTGGGAAGAAATATTTGTAAGATCTTTGAAACGAAGACTCTTCCTCAAGACAATAAATAGTGAAGGAATGTGTGGAGAAATCTAATTACCCAATAAAATGAAAAGCATCTGTAGGTGACAATGTGTGGAAAATATAATTAAAAGATAAATGTCAAACTATGAAAAATATTTCAGAAATTATGATAGACCCCAGGATTAATATCCTTATACCTTAGTAAGAGCTCATAAGAATTTCTGTCAATAAGAGGACATTTTAACCTTGTGTAACTAGTGAACAAGAGATGCAAAGAGTCACATAGATTAATCAGAAATGAAGACTAAAATAAAGCGAATGGATTCTCTGTTAGACTGTTGGTGGGAGTGAAGGACACGTGAGCTCTTTCCTGTCGTCGTTTGTCCAGTGCTAGAATTCTTTTTCTAGGAATGGCATCATCCAAAATGTAAACAAAGATATTTATGCCAACTTGATCTGTTCATTTTTATTTATAATAACAGAAATATCCACAGGGAATATATCATTAAAAATAAATTATTCTGGCCAGGTGCAGTGGCTCACACCTGTAATCCCAGCACTTTGGGAGGCTGAGGCGGGCGTATCACGAGGTCAGGAGATCGAGACCATCCTGGCCAACACAGTGAAACCCCATCTCTACTAAAAATGCAAAAAATTAGCCGGGCGTGGTGGCTCGCACCTGTAATCCCAGCTACTCAGGAGGCTGAGGCAGGAGGAGCGCGTAAAGCCAGGAAGCAGAGGCTGCAGTGAGCTAAGATCACACCACTGCACTCCAGCCTGGGCAACAGAGCAAGACTCTGTCTCTAAATAAATAAATAAATAAAAATAAATTATTCTATAACCACACGTAAGATTATGCAAACTTCAAAATTACCTTATGAGGTATGTGTGAATGTTGGGAAACATTTGTAATATAACATTCATTGAAAAGTTTGGCTGGGTGCAGTGATTCACGCCTGCAATCCCAGCACTTTGGAAGATGGTGGATCGCTTGAGCCGAGAAGTTTGAGACCAGGTTGGACAACATGGGGAAACCTCGTTTCTGCAAAAAATAGAAATATTAGCCAGGCGTGGTGGTGTGTACTTGTGGTCTCAGCTACTCAGGAGGTTGAGGCAGGAGGATCGCTTAAGCCCAGAAGGCGGAGATTGCAGTGAGCCATGATTGCGCCCCTGCACTCCATCCTGGGCAACAGAGAGAAACCCTGTCTCAGAAAAAGAAAAAAGGTTAATACAAAATGAGATAGATACGTTCCCCTCTCCCCCCGAGACAGAGTCTTGCTCTGTTGCTCAGGCTGTGGAGCACAGTTGCGCCATCTTGGCTCACTATAACCTCCGCCTCTCGGGTTTAAGCAGTTTTCCTGCCTCAGCCTCCGGAGTAGCTGGGATTACAGGTGCATGCCACCACACCCGGCTAATTTTTTTTTTTTTTTTTTTTGTATTTTCAGTAGAGACGGTGTTTCACCATGTTGGCCAGGCTGGTCTCGAACTCCTGACCTCGTGATCCACCCGCCTCGGCCTCCCAAAATGCTGGGATTACATGAGTGAGCCACCGCACCCGGCTGAGATATATGCTTTGATCTCAATACAACTTAGAAAAAAAAGATTGAGAGGATAAAGGTAAAATATTAATTCTGGGTGCCCTTTGGTGGTGGAGTTTGGGATGACATTTTAGTTTCGTGTACTTTGTATACATTCCATATTGTTTGTACTGAGCATGTACTACTTGTAATCAGAAATTTCAAAAGACCCCTAATTGTATGGTGCTCTCTCGGTCTTGGTTCGTTACAGCTCAGCTACCGACCCATCGAATCATTTTTCCTTCCTGTAACCTGGTTGCCTTATTCTTAAAATAAGACCAACAATAGCTTTCCTGTGAGAAGAAAGTGGAATTTGTACAGTTGCACAAATATTTTTGAAAAGTCAAAGATTTACTGTAGTAATGAATTGGACGATGGTATTACTTATGCCAAATATATTTCCTACCTTGTAAAAATAGTATCTGAGGTAGGAACCGAGTAGTTCCTGTGTGCTGTTTCATCCCGTCATCTGGGATATTATTTCTCCACCTTCCTTCTGTGAATCTTTCTGTCTGTGCTCAGCTTTTTCCTGGGGCCTCACCTCTGCTCTCCGTTTATGCAGCCCTCCCTGACACCCCTGGTGTAGCTGCGTGGAAAGGCACCCAGAGGCCACCCCATGAAGGAAATGCACAGAGCTTGTTTTGTAAATAAATGACTGTTTCGTGGAGGTGCCACATCAAGGGAGAGAGACAAGATCAGAAACCGGGAGATGGGCCAGGCACAGTGGCTCACGCCTGTAATCCCAGCACTTTGGGAGGTGGAGGCAGGCGAATCACCTGAGGGCAGGAGTTTGAGACCAGCCTGGGCAACATGGCGAAACCTCATCTCTACTAAAAATAAAAAATCAGCCAGACGTGGTGGCAAGTGCCTGTAGTCCCAGCTACTCGGGAGGCTGAGACAGGAGAACTGTTTGAACCTGGGAGGTGGAGATTACAGTGAACTGAGATCATGCCACTGCGCTCCAGCCTGGGTAACAGAGGGAGACTCCATCTCAAAAGAAAAAAAAAGAAAAGAAACTGGGAGATGGAGCTGGAAAGGCAGGTAGGATGGACTGATGAGGCTAGAGAAGCTGAGAGTTTGAACAAGACACAAATAGCTGAGCCGAGGCAGTTCAAGATTTTGGGAGGCAGTGCCTCTTTTGGAGAGATCTCTGTTTTGTTTTTGTTTTTTTTGCATAGGACAACACATTCCATAGTACTGGGTACTGAGTTGAACCTAGCATAACAAAAGCGGTCACTCACATCCCTTTGGTTGAGGACTTTTTAGTGCACCACCAATATTCATCTCATGTGCCAGTGGGAGTTAATAATCATGAGCTAGCCAGAAGTTTTGAATGAGATTTGGAATTTCCTTAAGCAAGGCAATTTCAGATAATTGGTGGTTCCTGGACTGCCTAAAGGAAGGGGATTTTCCACATCATCCTTTTGATGGAAGAGACTGAAAATGTTGAATGCACTCAAATTCTCCTCTATCTGTGACTTTAAATCATTTAATCACCAAAATCTTATCATCCTCCTGCCTCCAGGCTTTCTAGCAGAGGGTGCAAGTGTATTAAATGAAGGAAACGCATGGATTCTAAATTCAAACGGGGGTACAGAGTTTCCTGTCTTCTCATCACCTCTCTGAGAGCCTGAGTACTCTCAGATTTTCCCATATTCCTTTCTTCATGCTTAGCAGAGACCACATGCTCTTGTAACAGTTACGAACCGCCGGGTTAGACCTAAGTTCAGCAAATCCCTCTGCACAGATGGGTAAATGCATCTCGCAGTCCTTACAGGACAGCCAGAAAGGCACTGACCACGCTGAACCAGGCTCCTGACCCTGAGATTCAGGGACAGCGAGGGCCGCCCTCTTGGCTTGCCTTGCTCTGTTTCCATGGACAACAAATTTTGTATTGGCTACAGTCTGTGAAACATCAGATATGTTTTCCCTAGAGTTTGTGGTGCTTCTGTTCAGGGAACCTTTTGGTTTTCTTATTTCTTATGAAACATGTTCAGCATTTACAAATGTAGAGAGAATATGTCAGGAGCCTCTTGTCTTAGGTCGGTTTCCCTGGAAACAGCCTCTGAAGCAGAGGTTTGGGAGCAGGTGGTTTTCTTCGGAGAGTCCCCAGGATACGCATCTGCCGGGAAGGGAGGGAAGCAGGAGAGGGCCAGGGAAGGGAATTGGGCCACAGAGCAGGCTCAGCAAGGCCTCAGCCATCCCAGAACTTTGGAACTGAGACGGCCCTGCAGGGATTTCTCCTGCTTTGGGACAAGGAGGGAGGATGGACATTTACATCCTCTCATTGTCTGGATGTGAGCTGCTCCTAGAGAGGGATCTTTAGCTCTCATGTGCTAAAGGTGAGGGATTCAGCTAAGAGCTGGCCTCAGCCAACAGTGCCAGCATCTGGGGTGTCCTGAAGGGGAGAGCAAGGCCACACCCAGCAGCATCCCCTCCACTGAAGGGACAATGTCCACATAAGGCCCATCTTGCCCTCTCTCTGCCTACGCCCACTGCTTCCCTTTGTTTTTGTGTTTTAACACGTTTTTGAGGTGTATATATATTTTTAGACAGGGTCTCGCTCTGTTGCCCAGGCTGGAGTGCAGTGGTGCAATCATAGCTCACCACAGCCTCAAACTCCTGGGCTCAAACCATCCTTCCACCTCAGCCCTCAAGTAGCTGGGACTACAGGCATGTGCCACCACGCCCAGCTAACTTTTAAATTTTTAGTAGAGACGGGGTCTCACCGTGTTGTCCAGGCTGGTTTCCAACTCCTGGGCTCAGGCAATCCGCCTGCCTTGGCCTCCCAAAGTGCTGGGATTACAGGCATGAGCCACCACGCACAGCAGAAGCGTAATTTATGTACCATAAAATTCACTCATTTCGAATGTACAATTGAATGATTTTCAGTAAATTGGCCGAGTTGTGCAACCATCACCTGAATCCAGTTTCAGAACGTTTTCATCACCCTAATGGCACACACACCCTCTTTTTAAAATTATGTCTGGTAGATTTTGAAGCAAATCACGTGAGCTGAGGTTTCAGCTCAGTGAAGTTCTTAGCTTGAAGGGCTCTTTAGCTGGGAATAATATGAGCGAGTGAGGTGCCATTGAACAGTTATTTGAGATCACATCATAGAAGATCTTGGGAGATGTAACTAACTAAAAGCTGTTTCCAAAGAGAATGACTCCAGCTCCCTGTGTTAAGTGGTTTATTCCCCGAGGTCGTCTAAGAATACCACATCTGACAAAGAGCTCCATGCTTTAGAGTTCTTCCAGTTTATTCTTCAAGAGGAGAGCCCGCGTCAGAGACGGGGACTGTTTAAACACATATGGATGTGCGCAAGACAGCAGGTGTTAAAAGAGGAAGGGTGTGTGGGAAAGGAGGCATAGCTCTGATGAGAGGTCATCTTGGTATGTCACCAGAAAAGAGGAAGAGTAAAGACAAAGAAGATTGAACAAGAAACCAAGACAAGGCTGGGTGCCGTGGCTCACGCCTGTAATCCCAGCACTTTGCGAGGCCGAGGCAGGCAGATTGCTTGAGGTCAGGAGTTTGAGACCAGCCTGGCTGGCCAACATGATGAAACCCCATCCCTACTAAAAATACAAAAATTAGCCGGGCATGGTGGCAGGCACCTGTAATCTTAGCTACTTGGGAGGCTGAGGCAGGAGAATCACTTGAACCCAGGAGGCAGAGGTTGCAGTGAGCCAAGATTGTGCCACCGTCCTCCAGCCTGGGTGACAGGGTAAGACCCTGTCTCAAAAAAAAAAAAAGAAAAAAGAAAAAAAGAAAAAGGAAAAGAAAGACAAGGGAAAACTAGGCTATTTCTAAGGTCGTATAAAAATTTGCCTTCATTTGTCACATTTCTGCTCCTGTTGATGAAATAATGGGTCTATAAAAAAAGGGAAGAATGCACTTAAAAAATAGGTATAAATCACATACCATAAAATTCACCCTTTCAAGTTGTACAACTCAGTACAGTACTTTAATATGTTCACAGAGTTGGATCACCATCACCACTACAGAACTTCAGAACATTCCTACCACCCCCAAAACGACCTCTAAACTCACTAGCAGTCACTCCCTATTTCTCTTTCCTTCCCAGCATCTGGCAGTCATGAATCTACATTCTCTCTAAAGATTTGCCTGTTCCGGGCCAGGTGCAGTGGCTCACGCCTGTAATCTCAGCACTTTGGGAGGCCAAGGCAGGCAGATCACCTGAGGTCAGGAGTTCAAGACCAGACTGGTCAACATGGTGAAACCCTGTCTCTACTAAAAATACAGAAATTAGCTGGATGTGGTAGCACACGCCTGTAATCCCAGCTACTCCAGAGGCTGAAACAGGAGAATGGCTTGAACCTGGGAGGCAGAGGTTGCAGTGAGCTGAGATCCGGCCACTGCACTCCAGCCTGGGTAACAGAGTGAGACTCCGTTTCAAAAAAAAAAAAAAAAATTTGCCTTTTCTGGACATTTCATATAAATGAGATCATATAATATGTGGCCTTTTGTGTCTGGTTCCTTCCCTTAGCATAATGTTTTCAATGTGTTTCTCATGTTGTTGTTTGTATCAGTACTGCGTTTCTTTTTATGGCTAAAATATTCCGTATATGGATTATGTAAATATATTTTGTTTTTCCATTCATCAATTGATAGACATTTGGGTTGCTTCCACTTTTTGGCTATTATGAACAATTCTGCTGTGAACACTGATTTTTGTATGAATGTGTGTTTTCAGATCTCACAGGTATATACCTAAGGAATGAAATTGCTAGGTCATCCCATAATGCTATAGTTTCACTTTTTGAGAAATTGTTAAACTGTTTTCCATCGTGGCTGCCCCACTTTACATTTCCACCAGCAATGGGTGAGGTTCCACTTTCTCTACATTCTCATTGCCAACACTCATTATTTTCCTTTTTGCTGTTTTGGTTTTAAAATGTAGCCATCCTAGTGTGTGTGAAGCAGAAAGGCATATTTTAAAAAACACACTGGCAACAAAGAAAGGCGAACCTTAAAAACAAAACTCAGGGTACAGTGGCTCACACCTGTATCCCAGCACTTTGGGAGGCTGAAGTGGGAGGATCACTTGAGGCTGGGAATTTGAGAGCAGCCTGGGCAACATTGTGAGAGTTGGTCTCTACAAAAATAAAAATTAAAAAAAAAAAAAAGCCAGACGTGGTGGCTCATGCCTGTAATCCCAGCTACTCACGAGGATAAGGGAGAAGGATCGCTTGAACCCAGGAGTTCAAGGCTGCAGTGAGCTGTGGTCATGCCACTGTACTCCAGCCTGGGCAACACAGCAAGACCCTGTCTCTAAAAATAACAAAACAAGTCAGATTCTTGCTTGAGGCTCTCAGTTCTGTGCCCACGAAACTTCATTCCTTGTGCTCAGGTATAGTGGCCATGGCTGCTGAGAGCCACTGTCATTCATAGAATCATGGGGATGTCCATTCTGGACTCCCTCATTGAACAGTCTCGCCATCGTCCAGGCTGGAGCGCAATGGCGCAATCTCGGCTCACTGCAAGCTCTGCCTTCCGAGTTCACGCCGTTCTCCTGCCTCAGCCTCCCGAGTAGCTGGGACTACAGGCACCCACCACCACGCCCAGCCAATTTTTTGTATTTTTAGTAGAGACAGGGTTTCACCGTGTTAGCCAGGATGGTCTCGATTTCCTGATCTCGTGATCCGCCCGCCTCAGCCTCTCAAAGTGCTGGGATTACAGGTGTGAGCCACCGTGCCCAGCTGCTCTGCTGTATTTTTTAAGACCCAGATTGACCAAAGCTTATAGTTATTTTCAAATAACATAAACACATGCGTGTGCGCACGCACACACACACACGCTAGAATACTAGAAACAGAATGTGGTGAAGGGAATTGGACAGTTCAACAATTCTGGTAGTGCTGAAGAAAGCATCTCTATCTAAGGTCACTTACATGAGTTTTTCAAGTGTTGCTGTATATGGATTTTTGTTTTAGTTTTGTTTTTCCAAATGCAAGAAACTCTGCCAATTTTCTTTTTTTCTTTTTTTTTTTTGAGATGGAGTTTCGCTCTTGTTGCCCAGGCAGGAGTGCAATGGTGTGATCTCAGCTCACCACAACCTCCGCCTCCTGGGTTCAAACGATTCTCCTGTCTCGGCCTCCCGAGTAGCTGGGATTACAGGTGCCCGCCACCACGCCCAGCTAATTTTTGGTATTTTTAGTAGAGATGGGATTTCACCATGTTGGCCAGGCTGGTCTCGAACCGCTGACCTCAGCTGATCCATGCGCTTCGGCCCCCCAAAGTGCTGGGATTACAGGCATGAGCTACTTTGCCTGGCTGACGAAATCTGACAACTTTCTTCCAGAATACCACAACTCAAGAACAGTCACTTAGTTGAAAGTATGTCCCAGGGCCCCTTTGGTACTTAGACAACATCTTAGGCTTCTAGTCGGTTTTGCATCAAAGTGTTTTTGTCATCAAAGATACATTTAATATTTGTCCTGATGCCGACTGTATTTGTCCCGATGCCGGTGATGCCTGTAGAGCTATTAAAAAGTTACTGACGAGGCGGACGGATCCGCATGGTCAGGAGGTGGAGATCATCCTGGCTAACACGGTGAAACCCCGTCTCTACTAAAAAAACAAAAAATTAGCTGGGCGTGGTGACAGGTGCCTGTAGTCCCAGCTACTCGGGAGGCTGAGGCAGGAGAATGGCGTGAACCCGGGAGGCGGAGCTTGCAGTGAGCCCAGATCTCGCCACTGCACTCCAGCCTGGGCGACAGAGCAAGACTCCGTCTCAAAAAAAAAAAAAAAAGTTAGTGAATCTCAAATCTGTCCACTTGAGGCTAACACATTTTAGAAAAGCTTGCCAGAAATTGGGAGGACATTGGAACGTTAGGCTTATTGTTTAGAAATGTGAATTTTCTGTGCCATTCATTTCCATCCACATTACAGGAAAATGTTTTGGGGGTCTCTGAGCAAGCAGACAGCTCCTGGAACACCTTCTCTTTCTTGCTTCCCTGACCTTGCCGTCTCTCCTGTTCTACTTCTCATTCCTTTTCTCTTTCCACATTATTTTTTCTGCCATCTGCTTTCCCTTCTATAATCGTGACCAGAGTTACTGAGGAAAGGAGCGTTTCACAGGAAACAGCATGAGGCCATGCCCTTGTGCCACACTGAACTGTGTGACGGGGGCGGGAGGTGAGCCACGCCACAGCTGGGGGCATCGCTTTCCTCACCATGAAATGAGGGGTTTAACTAAAAGGCGTCTGAGGTTCCTACATTTTAGAGACCAGATCAGTTTATCCTTCTGATACTACAATAGATGCCTTTAGTTGGGGTTAATGGAACCCTAGAAGCAGAAAGCCCCTGTTTTATGGTTCTCCAAAGTAACAGCCAATAGGAGGTATATAGATAGACAAATAAATGGAGAAAGAGTTGTTTTTTTTTTAATTTAATTCTTTTTGTTTGTTTGTTTGTCTTTTGAGATGGAGTCCTGCTCTGTTGCCCAGGCTAGAGTGCAGTGGCACGATCTCGGCTCGCTGCAGCCTCCATCTCCTGGGTTCAAGCGATTCTCCTGCCTCAGCTTCCCGAGTAGCTGGGACTACAGGCGCACACCACCAAGCCCAGCTAATTTTTGTATTTTTAGTAGAGACGGGGTTTCACCGTGTTGGCCAGAATGGTCTTGATCTCCTGACCTCATGTTCCACCCGCCTCAGCCTCCCAAAGTGCTGGGATTACCGGCGTTTGTTCTTTTAAGAGACAAGGTCTCACTCTGTCACTCAGGCTGGAGTGGAGTGCTGCAATCATAGCTCATTGCAGCCTTGAACTCCTGGGTGTAAACAATCCTCTTGTCTCAGCCTCTTGAATAGCTGGGACTACAAGTGTGCACCACCACGCCTGGCCAATTATTTTTATTTTTTGAAGAGACAGGAGCGGAGGGGAGCAGGGGCTGGTCGTGCTATGTTGCCCAGGCTGGTCTTGAACTCCTGGCTTCAAGCGATCCTCCTGCCTTGGCTTCCCAGAGTGCTAGGATTATAGGCATGAGCCACTGCACCTCTCCAGAAAGAGATTTATTGATATAAACAATTGACTTACATGGTTAGAGGATGGTGAGTCCCAAGATCTGCAGGTGGCAAGCTGGAGACCCCGGAGAGCTGATTGTATGAGTTTCAGTCTGAAAGCCAGCAGGCTCGAGTCCTGGGAAGAGCATTTATATCAGTTCAAAGTCCAAAGGCAGGAAAAAGCCAATGTCCCAGCTTTAAAGCAGTCAAGCAGGAGGGATCCCCTCATATTCGGGGTGGGGGACACCCTTTTATGTTCTGTCCAGATCTTTGAATGAGGCCCACTCTCATTAGGGAAGTCAAATTTGCTATACTTTGTCTACCGGTTTAAATGTTAATCTCATCCAAAAAGCAGACACACTCATCCAGAATAATGTTTGACCAAATATTTGACCACTGTGGCCCATTCAAGTTTCATAAAATTAACCCTCACGGCGCCAGTCAGAGGATGCAGCGAAGGGATGCTAAGAAGCCATTCCAGAATCTGGTCTGGCCAGAACAATGCAATTTTATTCCTCTCTTCACCCTCCACAGCTCATGGTATTTAAACTCTTCCTGTTCTTTTTGTTAAAAGTTGTTCAAAAGCAAGCATGCTTAGTGTCTTTCAGAATAGTCTCAATAAGAAATAGATTTCTCAAGGGTCTCTTGTAAGACCTCAGTAGCAGGGAGCCATCATGTGCTAAGACATTGAGAACAAAGAAGGGGAAAAATGCATGAAACTCATGCGGTTGCAGGCATGAGCCAGGGACTTGGACTCTGGCTGGAGGGATGCCGAGGGTCTGGAGGGGCCCACGGGCAGGGATGGGGGCACTGGCGTGTGACTCAGAGTTTTCCTTTAGAACCATTGAAAAACTTAAAGAGGAAAAGACAAGAGTTCCTGGAAAAGGCTTGCTTTCTGGAATGTGAATAAAAACACTGGGAGCTGCTGTAAGCTTTGGGTTTTGGGGTCCTCAGTTGACCAGAGTAACTCATCTGTTGAGAAGGACAGTAGCTAGTCCCACAGCTCACCAGAAGATGCTGTTTACTGTGCCCTGCCTGGAAAGCTCCTGCTGACAGTGACCATAGCAGGGAGAGCCCCAAAATGTCCATTAGTCCATCAGTGGGGATTGATAATAAGCAAAGCAAAATTAGCCAGTTGTGGTGGTGCACACCTGTAGTCCCAGCTATTCGAGAGCCTGAGACAGGAGGATTGCTTGAGCCTAGGAGTTCAAGGCTGCAGTGAGCTTGAACTCACTGCAGTGATCGTAGCAGTGCATGGCAGCCTGAGTGACAGAGTGCTTTGATGAAAACAGATGAAGAAATCTTAAGGGGCTGAGGAGGCTGCAGATTTTTCTGTGACTTGTTTCTCTGTTCAATTTGATTGTAACTAATGAGTGTTTCTACAATTACTTTAATTAGTGATTGGTTTTTATAGAGAGACAATTGCAAGTGTAAAAGCGTGAACTTTAGGTCTAACCATGCTCCACACCTTGACTGATAGTCTTTGCTGGAAGACAGCTCCTAAATTTGGGGCGTGATGCCTGGGAGCTATTCAAAATTGCAACCTAAATTTCAGGACAGTAATTCACATGGTCACTGTTCATTCTTTGAGAATAGTGGTATCTATCCTTAGTAAACCTTATAAATATTGGGGAAAAAAATCTTTGTCATTTTTTTTAACATTAAGGCTAGTGCATACTATTAATACCAACATAATGTGGTTTTATAGGTTGTTAAAAATGTTGTCTTGTTGCAGTGTTCCCATTCGGTGTCACGTCGTGTGTTATTTTCCTCTATACTAAATGTGGAGGATGAATGTGTAGGTGCTAGAAAGTTAAAAAAAAAAAAAAAAAAAAAGAAATCCATTGTAAGAATGGCTTTTGTCCAATAAGGGACTGGAACACATAGAAAGTGTGGATGTTTGTTTGTTTGTTTGTTTGTTTTTTGTTTGTTTGTTTGTTTGTTTGTTTTGATGAAGTCTCGCTCTGTCACCCAGGCCGAAGTGCAGTGGCACAGTCTCTGCTCACTGCAACTTCTGCCTCCTGGGCTCAAGCAATTCTCCTGCCTCAGCCTCCCAAGTAGCTGGGATTACACGTGCCCACCACCATGCTAAATTTTATATTACAGGTGCCCACCAACACCTGGCTAATTTTTGTATTTTCAGTAGAGACGGAATTTCACCGTGTTGGCCAGGCTGGTCTCAAACTCCTGACTGCAAATGATCCGCCTGCTTCGTTCGGCCTCCCAAAGTGCTGGGATGACAAGTGTGAGCCACTGTGTCCGGCCAGAAAGTGTGTTTTAAAAGCTGCCTACACCATAGCCATGAGTAGAGGTTTTGTTCTATTCTCGGGTTGCAGCCATTTGCGCTGAGTGAGAAGGAGCCAAGGACAGTGGATGCTTACCTGGAACGTCTGGCAGCTGGTCTGTTTCCTCATCTTAATTCTAAAAGAGCACATCAATTGACAAAGCCATTTCAGCACATACTGTACATTTGTGCAATAACAAGGGAAGGCTTTAAAACTATTATCTGTCAAAATTCGCAACTGACAAATTCCCATGATTTAATTGTTTTTTTTCCCAGGCGCTGAGTATGTGTGTTTTGATTACCCTGCCCTGTCCATGTGGCACAGTTTGGGCTGTGACATTGCCAGCCAGTTGTCCCCACCCGGGGGTCACTCTGTGCCCACATGCTGTGCATATCACTCACTCACTCACTTACCCTTTAGCAGATCATTCTAAATGGTTTTCTGGCATGATTTTTGAAATGGATGATTATTAAAATGCGCTGAAGGGTTCTTTTGTTTAGATGTAACCTTCGATTGCAGAGGGAAGTCACCAAGTCTTGTCTGCTGGGGGTCCCTGCACAAAGCCAGGACCAGCCAGGTGGGACAGCCATTCCCTGGGTGGGCTGGAGGTTCTAGAATATTCTTCTGAGTGTGAGGCACCCACTCCAAGCTAAAAGGCCAAACTCAGAGCAGAAGAGGCCGGGAGGAGAGACTATTGGTGAAACAAGGGTACAACATGCAAACCGCTATCAAGGTTAGGGGATGGGGAAAGTCAAGAATGAATGAATGAATGAATGAATGATGAATGAATGAATGAATGAAGTAGAAGTTGAGGGAGGATTGTCTCAGCGGCCAGTCAGCTAAAGGAGGTAGGCAGGCCAGATGCCATGGCTCACGCCTGTAATCCCAGCACTTTGGGAGTCTGAGGTGGGCAAATCACCTGAGGTCGGAAATTTGAGACCAGCCTGGCCAACTTGGCAAAACCATGTCTCTACTAAAAATACAAAAGCTAGCTGGGCATGGTGTCACACGCCTGTAATTCCAGCTACTCTGGATGCTGAGGCTGGAGAATTGCCGGAGCCCAGGAAGTGGAGGTTGCAGTGAGCTGAGAGATCACGCCACTGCATTCCAGCCTGGGTGACGGAGCCCGTCTCCCCCAATAAGATAAGATAAGATAAGATAAGATAAGATAAGATAAGATAAGATAAGATAAGATAAGATAAGATAAGATAAGAAGGCTTCAGAAGGCTTCTTTCGTGAGCTTCATGCTGCATGCTTTGAGAATTTACATGGCTGCTTAAGGTCACCATACCCAGCCAGACCACACCCCACTCACTATGCAGTTTTGTGCAAAATATTTATTTATTTGTTTATTATTCTAGAGATAGAGTCTTGCTCTGTCACCCATGCTGGAGTGAGTGGCATGATCATAGCTCACTGCAGCCTCCAACTCCTGCCTCAAATGATCCTTCCATCTCAGCCTCCCAAAGTGCTAGGAATACAGGAGCTCCACCCCGCTTGGCCATCATCTTTCTTTAGTCAGCAAATATTTAGTTCATTTTTTCTCTGTGTAAGTACCATGCAAGGCTCTGGGTAAACAGCGGTAAATGAGGCAGGCATTGCCCTGCCTTCGTGGAGTTCACAGTCTGGGATAGGGTGGGACAGGAGGAGGAGCCTGACCCAGCTAACTCTGCTACCACCTAAGTATAACTGGTGTGTGCTGTGCAGAAAGACAGGTGCTAAGAGCGAATGTATTGAGGGGTCTCATCTGGTCTAGGGGTCAGGAAAGGCATATCTGTAGTAGCGACATTCAAGCTAGGACCTAAGCGATGAGTACGGGTAGAAAGACAAAAATGTGTGAGGGCTCTGCAGGTCCCAGCCTCAGCAGCCGGCACGCAGCAGGGAAGCCATGTGGTGGGCGGCTGGGGCCATGCACCTTTGTCAGGGCTGCTGATAGAAAGTAAACCCAGAAGCCGCTGAGACTTCACCAACAAAGGCAGTGAGTAAAGTTTTGCAAGGCTGAGCAATAGACAGGCAATATTTGTTTTGTCTTTGCTCTTTCAAAGGCATTGTTGGGTCTTTCTTGGATTATCTTTTTTTTTTTTTTGAGGTGGAGTCTTGCTCTGTCACCCGGGCCGGAGTGCAATGGCGCAATCTCGGCTCACCACAGTGGCCGCCTCCCAGGTTTTCAAGCGATTCTCCCACCTCAGCCTCCCGAGTAGCTGGGATTACAGGCGCCCGCCATCATGCCTGGCTAACTTTTGTATTTTTGTAGAGATGGGATTTCACCATGTTGGCCAGTCTGGTCTCAAACTCCTGACTTCAGGTGATCTGTCCACAGATGATCTGGGCGGACAGCACCCAGAGTGCTGGGATTACAGGGGTGAGCCACCGCGCTGGCCAGATTATCTAAATGCATGTGCCTACCCACACTTGTGCTAGAAGAGTTTTAGTAGAGATCCCATTGGCTGAGAAACATTAGAACAAATATAAATACTAAATAATGTGTACATATGGACCTAGCATGTGGAATTATAGTCATTGGAGACTCGGGAGGGTAGAAGGGGGATGATGGATGAGAAATTACCTAATGGGGACAAGGCACACTCTTTGAGTGATTGTTACACTAAAAGCCAGACTTCACCACTACAGTATTTCCATGTAACAAGCTGTACTTGTACCCCTTAAATTCGTCCAAATAAAAAAAATATATACATACACATAATAAACTCCCATTAAAACTGAACAAAGGAATTAAAGGCATCTTTTAGGCTTGTCATAGAATCGGGGTCCTATCAATTTGTCTTCACGTTCTGAATCTCTTGAGCATATGTAATTGAATAATTGTTCTCCGTAAGTTTTTAGTAGAGTCACTGACCCAAGAGAGACCAGGACGTGCTTACAGCCACTGGCAATTCCCTTCCCAGGAGCCACTGGTCTTATGAACTGTCTGTAACCAAGTCATATTCTGAGGCCTTTGACAGAGCCATCTCCTGTCTCTTCCACTTGTCATGTACTCAAGGAATATCAAATGACTTTAGTATCGGAAAAAGTATAATTGAAAAACAATTGGCCGGGCATGGTGGCTCACGCCTGTAATCCCAGCACTTTGGGAGGCTGAGGCAGGTGGATCACAAGGTCAGGAGATTGAGAGATTGAGACCATCGTGGCCAACATGGTGAAACCCCATCTCTACTAAAAATACAAAAATTAGCTGGGCATGGTGGCGTGTGCCTGTAGTCCCAGATACTCGGGAGACTGAGGCAGGAGAATCACTTGAACCTGGGAGGCAGAGGTTGCAGTGAGCAGAGATCGTGCCACTGCATACCAAGTACAATCTTCCTAACTGGAGGTAATTGTGGAAAGGCCAATATGTGACCATCAAAGAGCTAATTACAAAATATTTTCAAAAATTAATACATTCGAGAACATCTGTTAGTGCAAAGCTCGTGCTGGCTGTGTTCAACCAGAAGGTCACTAGCTGGGGCTATGCCATGTCAGTGACTGGTTCATTAACCTAGGACACCTCAGGAAATATGTCATGCTAGGTTGATAGCTCTGAACCTCATCTTACAAGTCCTCATTAGACTAAAAGTTTATAGAGAGATATCTAATTAATGCAGAAGTCACAATTCTCAGTTGTGAGATTTTTTTCCAAATACCATCCACCCCGTGTGGTCCTTGGGATCTTAGAACGGGCTGCCTCACCCTTCTGCCCGGAATGCTTTTCCCCTGACCACACGTGGCTGCCTCGTTCCTGTCCTTCAGAGGGGCCATCGCTGAACGCACTCAACAGTGGCTGCACCAGCCACCCACTAGACTGTTTGACCTCTCCACCCAGCATTTCTAACCCTTCTCTCATGGCCTGTATTCTCCGAAAGAGTGAGTTCTGGCTGCTTTCACTGGTTCCCCTTTTTCAGTATAATTCCATTTACTGGGCCTTGGCTGCCCACTGGGCTTCTCTTCACTTAACTAAATACTGCTCCTCCTTTTTAGTTTTATTTCTTATTTTTTTGAGACAGAGTTTCGCTCTTGTTGCCCAGGCTGGAGTGCAGTGGTGTGATCTTGGCTCACTGCATCCTCCACCTCCCGGGCTCAAGCGATTCTCCTGCCTCAGCCTCCCGAGTAGCTGGGATTACAGGAGTGTGGCACCACACCTGGCTAATTTTTGTATTTTTAGTAGAGATGGGATTTCACCATGTTGTCCAGGCTGGTCTTGAACTCCTGACCTCAGGTGATTCACCCACCTCAGCTGCCCAAAGTGCTGGGATTACAGGTGTGAGCCACCACGCCCAGCCTGCTCCTCCTTTTAAGACAGCTGAGATCCACCTCCTCCTGCCCCATCCCAGGAGTCCCTTCTGGGTGCCCTTTTGAAGTCTTCCAAAGCACCCTCACCACTGTGCCTCCCTCCACCCTCAAAGCCATTCACACCCTGATTTACTTGGCTGTGTGTGTCAGTCTCCCACACTGGACTACACACCAGATGGAAACAGAGACAGCCTATTGTCTGGCTCCATACAGGATCATTCCATGATTTGGTGAAGAAACAAAGCACAATAAAGTAGCAAACATGGTGGGTGGGTTTTCCCCAATAAACCTGGGAAAAATATATAAAGAGAATGTATATTCAAAGACACATTGCCTGAGTATGGAAGATCCTTTATGTTGCCCGGTGTATTTGTTTGGGCTAATGTAACAGAATACCACAGACTGGGTGGCTTAAACAATAGGCATTTATTTTCTCACAGTTCTGGAGGCTGGAAGTGCAAGATCAGGGTGTCAGCAGGGTGTCAGTTGATTTCTCTTGAGGCGTCTTTCCTTGGCTTGCAGACGGCTGTCTTCTTGCTGAGTCCTTACATGGTCTTCCTTGTGTGCATGGAATTCCCAGTGTCTCTTCCTCTTTGTGTAAGGACACCAGTCCTATTGGATTAGGGCCCATCCATATGACCTCGTTAAACCTTAGTTACCTCTTTAAAGGCCCTATCTCCAAATACAGTCAGATTCTGAGGTGTACTGGGGGGTCAGGACTTTACCATATGGATTTTAGGGGTACTCAGTTCAGTCCATAACACCCAGATATAGAGAAGGCAAAACGCCCAGAATCAGAGTGTAACCGAATACAGGTGGCTAAATATAGCCAGTATATTAGATGGAAAGGCGTGTGTTTATATTTTGGAAATTTCTGAACAGATTGAGGCCTGGAAGATACTGTGAAATGGAATTCTAAGAATAAAGATTTTAAAAAATTATTAAAGTAGGATTTGTTGAAGGAGGAAAATATTGAGGGGAGAGGTTGCATGAAATGAAAACTTAATCTCTGAGAAGTGGGTGAGGGAGTCCCTCCAGGAGCAGGGAGTGTGTGTAGGTGGGCACCAAACCTACGGAAGTTATGACGATTATAGGCACCAGTGTGGGATGATGGACAGCTGCGTTTTGTGGGAAGAGGGGAATCTCAGGTTCAGCCAAGGTGGATCTTGATTGAGGAAAAGATCGAGAAGATGGAAACTAACTTTCTCCAAGCCAGGTTAAGAATGTAAATATCTATTGTGAATAGTGCTGCAGTAAACATACGTGTGCATGTGTCTTTATAGCAGCATGATTTATAATCCTTTGGGTATATACCCAGTAATGGGGTTGCTGGGTTAAATGGTATTTCTAGTTCTAGATCCCTGAGGAATCGCCACACTGACTTCCACAATGGTTGAACTAGTTTACAGTCCCACCAACAGTGTAAAAGTGTTCCTATTTCTCCACATCCTCTCCAGCACCTGTTGTTTCCTGACTTTTTAATGATCGCCATTCTAACTGGTGTGAGATAGCACATGTACCCTAAAACTTTAATAATAATAATAATAATAATGTAAATGTCTGCCTTCTGGACCTTGGGGTTTCTCCATTGAAAATGCTTTGTTTGCAGCCTTTCTTCATCACAGCCTACAGATTTCAAGAGTATCTTCCCCTTAGGACTAAACATAAAGAAGAGAAATGCTGCTTAGAAAACACATTTATAACCAGCCTTGTTCTGGGGCCCATTGAGACCTCACAGCTCTTGCAGCATGCCCCTGTCTCTTCTCCACTCCCCTGGCCTTGTCGTAGGGCAGCCTTTGTGAATTTCAAAGGTATTTCGAAGGTGAATTTCAAATATTTGCTGTGCCACTACTTTTTATTACCCTAGCATCATGGCTGGTATTTCTCAGACTGCTCTCACAGCATTGTACTGTTTGGCCTTCTTCATATCATTTTATTACATCTAGCTTCCATTCTAGAATAGAATGGATTATTGGAGCCTGCTTCCAGCATTAGCAGAAGTGCTCCCTTTTAATGAATGTGTGGTTGATATTGTTCAAGACATAAAATACTTTAAATTACAATTAGCAGTAAATTGTAAGATAACAGGATATCTACCAAAATCAAGATGGAGAAGTTTTGAATGCATGTAAGCAACAGCATGGCTGGCCAAGGACTAACAAGGGATACATTGCATACTGACTCTATTAGACTGCATTGCAGTATACCACTGTGTCGTCAGAGCTGAGTTTTACTCGGTCCAGCAACTTCAAAATGATGTTATGTTTTTTGACAATTACTTCTTAATTTGAAAGAAATGGGATCATGTAAAATTTGGCAAACATACTGAAATTTTACTGAGATTATTATGTCAAACGATTTCATATTTGCATATTTAAAATTTGCACACAATACAATGGCATTATACTGTCTTAGGCAAGGAAGATTAGAGACTGAACAAACACAGCTGGGCACGGTGGCTCACACCTGTAATCCCAGCACTTTGGGAGGCCAAGGTGGGTGGATCACGAGGTCAGAAGATCGACACCATCCTGGCTAACACGGTGAAACCCCGTCTCTACTAAAAATACAAAAAAAATTAGCCGGGCGTGGTGGTGGCCACCTGTAGTCCCAGCTACTCGGGAGGCTAAGGCAGGAGAATGGCGTGAACCCAGGGAGCTTGCAGTGAGCCGAGATGATGCCACTGCACTCCAGCCTGGGCGACAGAGTGAGACTCCGTCTCAAAATAAAACAAAAGAACTGAACAAACCCAAGTTCAGTGCAGAGGCAGGCTGTTGTAAATAAACCTCAAAGTTGGAATTCAGAAGAGTAGAGAATTTTTGACTATCTCTTCTGTCTTCTGCTTCCTTAATCTTTGCCAGCCTGTTTACCTTTCCAGATCTGCATCCTAAGAAGCTGAGCCTCTCTCCTAATAGCTATTATGCCATTCATTCACTTTATTTTTTTTTGAGACAGGGTCTTGGTCCTTCACCCAGACTGGAGTGCAGTGGTGCGATCATAGCTCACTGCAGCCTCAGCCGTCCCGGCCTCCCAAAGTGCTGGGATTACAGATGTGCGCCACTGTGCCCGGCCTCATTTATTCATTTTAATTTATTGATATATTACTGTGATTGTACTCCTTTTCCCCAATCACTTGACCCCTGTCCCTTCTAACTTCATTCTGATGCTTTGCATGTTTTAATTGGGGAACTTCATTTCTGATGTGGAGCTTTCAAACATGCACACAGGAGGCTTGACATAGAAGCTGTCTGACTCAAAAAAAACCTCTCAGTCAGCTCAATAACCAAACAGCCAACCTAAGCATGGTCTGCAAGCCTGAAAATGAGACATGAAGTTGCCATGACGCCAAACTTATCTCCCCAGCAGTGATTCTGGGATAGTGTCTACCTCACAACTAGCTCTATGAATAAGTCAGTGCTGGCTGCCACAACAAAATACCATATAGATTGGGTTAAACAACAGAAATTGATTTTCTCACAGTTCTGGAGGCTGGACGTCTGAGATCAGGGTGCTAGTGTGGGAAGATTATAGTGAGGGCTCCATTCCTGCCTTGGAGGCAGCTGCCTTCTCCTTGTGTCCTCACATGGTAAAGAGAGAGTTCTGGTCTCCTTCTTCTTACAGGGACACTGATCCCAGCATGGGGGCCCTGCTCTTTTTTTTTTTTTTTTTTTTTTTGAGATGGAGTCTTGCTCCATTGCTGGAGTGCAATGGCATGATCTCGGCTCACCGCAATCTCTGCCTCCCCAGTTCAAGCAGTTCTCCTGCTTCAGCCTCCCAAGTAGCTGGGAGTACCGGCACCCGCCATCATGCCCAGCTAATTTTTGTATTTTTGTAGAGACTGGTTTTCACCATGTTGGCCAGGTTGGTCTTGAGCTCCTGACCTCAGGTGATCCGCCTCCTTGGCCTCCCAAAGTGCTGGGATTACAGGCATGAGCCACCACACCCGGCTGCATCCTCTTGACTTCATCTAAACCTAATCACCTCCCAAAGACCCCACCTCCAAACGCCATCATCACATTGGGAATTAAGTCTTCAGCTTATAAATTCTGGGGGACGTAAACATTCAGTCCATAACAGTACCATAGGTTTTTGAAATGCAGGCTTAAGGAGAATTTTGAAAAGTACAAAGAGATTTGCAGATTTAATATATTTTTATTAGTCATAAAAATATATGACAATATCATATTGTCATATTTCTTTATTGGCAAGATTCTAAACTTTCCCCTTGTGCCTCGGTTTCTAAGGAGACCAGATTCTTTCCAAGCAGTGTTCAGAAAAATAGAGCCCTGGTGCAGTTTGAAATGTAAGAAGCAGAATATTAAATGTGCAGAGCATTGAGACTCTGCAACAGTACATGCTATCCTTTGATGCTTCAGTTTTCACTGCATTGCTGCCCTATGGCACTGCTGTAAGACAGAAAATATTTTATGCAGATTTTTTCATTCAGTAGAATTCGTCCATACCTTATATATCACATAATGGGAAAAAAGAGGACCTTGACAGAATGGGAAGCAGGACAGGTAGGTTTTGAGGGACGCAGGTTGGCCAGGTTTGGATCATGGGGTCCTAAGGGCAGGAGGTGGTGGGAGCAGTGGAAGGGGTAAGCGTTCTTGCCAGAGGTCATCCAGCAGTTGCAGAGGAGAGGAGGCAGTAGCAGGCAGAACAGTGAGAAGCAAGCCCTGGAGACAGCAGTTAGGGAGGCTGCTACTGGAAGGGGGCCTATGTGGAAGGGCATAATCGTAACAGACGTTCCGCCTTCAGAGTGAAAGCTGCCTCGATTGCATCCCACTGGGCATGCTCACTGGCATGTAATGGGCACCCAGGAAATGTTGAGTGAGTAGTTGAATAAATAATTAAGTGAATGCAGGCCGGATGCAGTGGCTCACGCCTGTAATCCCAGCACTTTGGGAGGCTAAGGCGGGAGGATCTCTTCAGCCCAGGAGTTTGAGACCAGACTGGGCAACATGGTGAAACTCCGTCTCTACTAAAAATACAAAAATTAGCCGGGTGTGGTGGCACGTACCTGTGGTCCCAGCTACTCAGGAAGCTGATGTAGGGTGGGAGGATCGCTTAAGCCCTGTAGGTCAAGGCTGCAGAGAGCTGTGATCATGCCACTGCATTCCAGCTTGGGCTGCAGAATGAGACCCTGTCTCAGAAAAAATAAGAAGTGAATGTCTCTAGGGCACCCAGACTCACCTTGTCCCTAACAGCAGTCTACCTCTTCTGGTACATTCTCGAGCTCTGCAAAGTTTCAGATGTTGAAACTTGTTGGGGGAAGGTTCTTGAAAAATGATGAGAGGAGAGAAGTTGGTGTCAGGAGGAGTATCTTGGGCTCTTGGCTTACCTAAGCATGGATCATTGAGACAACACGGTCATCAAAATGTAGTTTCTCCCAGTCGTTTCCGTTTCTTTTCACTCTTGGAATTGCTTTTTTATTTCTCCTGAGCACCTTTTCTTTCTTACCTAGATTGTCAGTTTGCCTTGGAAATGAAACATTATCCAAGCACAATATTGCCTGCTATGACTATAGGTAATGGAAGAGACAAGCACATAGGCCTTTTACGGCTGCAGTGGTTGTTTGATTAGTTTTTTTAAAAGAAGGTTTCAGTGGATCAGTTATTGCGCATAAATTGTCGTGCCTTTTGGAAAATGAATCTTATCTTTGTGTGTTTGTGTATGAGTGTGTGTTACCGTAGGGCTTGTCTTTTGTTATATCTGTGAAAGCTTTAAGGGTTGTTTATTTAAGTTGCTTTTTGATTTTAGCATTTCAAATCTGTCTCATCTTGTTTTTGAAAAATGTTTCTTTCTTTTTTTTCAGTAGTGTTAATAAATCCCTTGAAATTTATTTCCAAGATGGCTTAATGATTTGAGATGATTTGGAGAACACTAGTTGAGTTGTTTGTATTCTGGCTTGTACACTTCCATTATTTTGTTGAACTCAGGGCAGCATAAAATATCAGAGCTGAAAGGTGCCAGAGAGGTTGCCCCCACAGGGCTTCTTGACCCTTGCCAACCTAGTCCCATTTTGAAAAATGTTTAAAAATGTTAAATGCAATCTGAAATGCAAAGCTAATAAAAAGGATACAGCATCACTAAAACCAAAGCAAAGTAATGAAATATAGTCTTGATTTCTTGCCTGCTTTTTCATAAATCACAAGTGGCTTTGAGGTTCTGATCATTCCGAAGGCATGCTCCCACCCACTGTTGAAATGGGTGACTAGATTCATCCCCTAATTTTACACATAAAAACATCAAGGTCCAGGGATTCAGGCGGTGTTCGTATCCCAGTATATTAGGAGCAGAACTTGGTCAAAAACCCACACATCCCGTTGGCAGGCCAGCGTTTTGCCCACAACACTCTCGGTCATTTAAGGATACTGTCTCATGCAAAGGAGACATTTTATTCAGGGTCATCTTCCTGTATCCGAGGACGCTGGTATTCAGGAAGGGTTTTTTTAAACTTTACATCATCACAGCAGAACAGAGGCAGAGGCCTGGACAGAACCCAGGTGTGGCTGGTCCGTGGATCGTGTTTTTTTAAATTTCCTTTACTTGGTTCCAGACATTTGCTCTGCTGTGACATGGAAACATTTCCTGGCTATAGCCTCTGAGGAATAGGGGGGCAACATCTCAATCTGAAGATGGATTCATTTTTGCAATAAAGTTTGGGATTTTTTTCACATTGGAAGCTTTCCCTTCACAATTCAACAGATCCTTTCAAACTTCTAATATGTTCTTTTTTGCCAGGGTGTCCGGTGGAGAGCTGTTTGACCGGATAGTGGAGAAGGGGTTTTATACAGAGAAGGATGCCAGCACTCTGATCCGCCAAGTCTTGGACGCCGTGTACTATCTCCACAGAATGGGCATCGTCCACAGAGACCTCAAGGTGAGGCCATCGCTCAGCAGCATCCTGCAGCCACTCTGCAGCCCGCAATGCACGCGACCAAGAGGGCTGATGCCAGTGGGGGCATGCAGCTGCTCTGATGTAGAGTGGGTGCAGCAGATGGTGGGCATTTGTGTACTTTGAGTTGTCAGGGCCTTTGGGATCCAGACCCAGAAGTATCTTGGAAGAAGATGAAGATTCACATGGCTGGCCACTGTTCATGAGATTTTTACAACCATTATGTAGCCAAAGGGTTACAGGGAGGTGGGTTATATATTGCTTCGAGCCTATCTAAGAGACGATTTTGCTCAAGACACGTAGGCTACAGAAACCCTCCTCCCGGTGCAGTTCCGCAGCACCTTTGCCAATTCCAGCCCCATTGCAGCACAACACACTGTATAAAAGAAAGAGAGCAGTGGTCAGACATCATGAGAGGAAAGTGAAGGGAAACAGAAGGTAAGCAGATATAGAAGAGGGAGAAGAGAAATAGAAGGGAAAAAGACAGGTTAAAAGAGCTATGACTGGCTGGGCGTGGTGGCTCAGGCCTGTAATCCCAGCACTTTGGGAGGCCGAGGAAGGCAGATCATGAGGTTAAGAAATCAAGACCATCCTGGCCAACACGGTGAAACCCCATCTCTACAAAAATACAAAAATTAGCTGGGTGTGGTGGCGCGTGCCTGTAGTCCCAGCTACACAGGAAGCCGAGGCAGGAGAATCGTTTGAACCCAGGAGGCGAAGGTTGCAGTGAGCCGAGATCGCACCACTGCAGTCCAGCCTGGCAACAGAGCGAAACTCCGTCTCAAAAAAAATAAATAAATAAAAATAGTGTCTTGCAGGTTCTTTTCTTACAGTTTCCTAATGAGGTTTTGGTATATTGACCCTTTCCCCGTTGGCACAGAAGGATCTGGGCCTTATATTGGCATATATGCCCCTCCCCAGCAGGTCTATGTAGACACTGAAGGACAGATGTCAAACACAATAGTACTGAAGGGTGGATGTCACACATATGGTACCAAAGGTAGGTATCAGACATATCAACTTGAGAAACAGTAGAAAGCAGTGCGGTTGACCCAAAGCTGCAATGTGACCTCATTCTAGGATGTTTACAGGTCCAGCCCCCAGAGCTTACTGCACCAGTCAAGACAAAAATTCCACCCCAGCACACATACCCACCACTCATTATAAACACGAGGATCATATCATCTTGAAGCTGTGCTGTACACAACTGTGGGAAATCAAAATCAATTTAAAGAACCAGTCATAAACATTTGTATAAACAGAGTTTCCACACCTGGCTATTACCTGCTACTGGGTATTAAGGAATAAAGTGGTGTAGCTTTTTCTTTCATAAAGACTCACTACCATGGTTTTTCTGCATGTTGTCATGTTCCATTGACCCAGGCAGTGATTCCCGAATGTTCGCCCATATCAGAATTGTCTGGAGGGCTATGAAAATAGAGACTGCTGCCCCATCCCCAGTGGTCTGATTCTGTAGGTCTCCGGTGGGGGCTGAAAACTTGCATTTCTAACAGGTCTGCCCGTGATGAGGATGCTGGTCTGGGAACTGCTCTTGGAAAACCACTGGGCGAGGATATTTGGGAATCTTAGTGGATCCCTTTGAGCCTTCATCCTCTGCAGGCTTCTTGACATCTGAAATGGCTGTGGGCGTGGTCAGCTCATGTTCGGGGCCTGGAGATACTTCAGAGGGCTAGGTAGGGGCTAGCTCAGCCGACCTGGCACCTCTGCCAGGCCTCCGGGCCTTCTCTGCTCTCTTGTGCCCCCACAAATGCCAGTTCTGTGCTTCCAGAACACATAGGCAGCTCTCTCTGAACACGTTCGTGTGGTGACCACAGGGATGCACTGTGATGGGCTAGCTGTCTGTACTTATTAGAAAAATAATTTCTAAGCAAATAAGGCATATCCAGGAGGGGCAGTGTTTATCTCTCCCTTGGAAAGGCTGATTGGCTGTATGGGAGATAATGTTTTTAATTAACCTACGTAATGCTTTTGGAGGAATCTTTGCAGCTTCCATCCTGTGGAGCCTTAAGATCACCGGGCCTGTCGTTACGTAAAGAACACTGCCATTTTAGGACCTTTCTGTGATCTCTTTTCAGAGGCACAAAGGAGTTTGATCTATGAGGAGGAAGTTGAAATTGGACTACTAAATTTGCGTAAACAGCTAAGAAAATTAAAGTTAAAACAACCTATATAACCAAGCCCAGAGCAATAGAGAGAGGATGATCGTGTTAATTTAAGCTTAGTGCAGCAATCGGAATACTGCCCCAGCCTACCTGCAAATGTACCTCCTTCTCTTCGTAGAAAGCTATGCGATGTCTTGTTGCCCTGAGAAGCTATTAGAGACAGTTGCTCTTTTTGCAAAATGAAGTGACTGAGACTGGAAGTGCCTGGTCCTGCCTCAGTGGATTAGGATTGGGTTTCTCAGCCCCTGCACCATTGGCATTCAGCCCTGGGCACTGTGGGATTTAGAGCAGCATCCTTGGCTTCTGCCCATGGATACGAGTACTACGTCTGGAATTGTTAACAGCTACAAATGTCCCTAGGCATTGCCAGATATCCATCCGCTGGGGGGCAAAATTGCCCCTAGTTGAGAATCACTGGAGTAGGAATGTGATTATGGATAACATTAACGTTACCAGAAGTGTGTTGATTCCGATCTTATTAAAGCTTATTATGTGGATTATTATAAAGTGTTGGGGTTGATATTCCAACTCAGGTATTGGCCACCAGTTGTCTTGCAAAGATGCCATAATATGCCGAAAACTTAATTTTTCCAGTGAGTCCCGGACCTCTTTGGACACCAGGAGGAATTGTGATGCAATGTGGGCCAGACCCTCTCCCTGTGGCCCCCACCCCCACAGCCCTCCTGTTGGGATCGGGGATGGGGCCTCCCACCCAGATGATACCTGAGCCTGCCTCTCCCCCACCGTCTTCCCTCCTCCCCCAGGAAAAGCCCTGCTGTCCTTACAAGTCTTGGGCCAATTAAAAGTATTGATTGGCTGGGCGCGGAGGCTCACGCCTGTAATCCCAGCACTTTGGGAGGCGGAGGCGGGTGGATTGCGTGAGGTCAGGAGTTCGAGACCAGCCTGACCAACATGGTGAAACCCCATCTCTACTAAAAATACAAAAATTAGCCAGGTGTGGTGGCAGGTGCCTGTAATCCCAGCTACTCAGGAGGCTGAGGCAGGAGAATCGCTTTAACTGGGGAGGCAGAGGTTGCAGTGAGCCGAGATCGCACCATTGCACTCCAGTCTGGGCAACAAGAATGACACTTTGTCTCAAAAAAAAAAAAAAAAACATTGATCTAAACTGTGAATGACCAGTTGATTTAACCCTCCTTGGGCGTAACTGGTCTTCAAAACAGCATTTTATTGACCCAGATGAATCTTTTCTAGGAGGGATGTGCGATGCTCTGAGCCCTTTGGCCACCCCTTGCCAGGATTATGCCTTGTTTAGCAGTGTGAAATCACTTACTCTCCTCTCCTTATCACCTCCTGGGACAAGGAAGATAAAAAATCAGAAACAACAGCATTGTCCTCTCTCTGCACCCATGATTGGATCCTTATTGTTTAGTGAAGGATAATCCCTAAACTTCCAGAGAAAACATGAACCATGTGGTCTTTATGATTCGAGCATTCCCGCCCCTTTTCTAAGCTTGACAGCATTCTTGTTTCAACTGATTGGCGACTTTACTTTCTTTTAAAACTCATTGGGGCCAGTGCGGTGGCTCATGCCTGTAATCCCAGCACATTGGGAGGCTGAGGTAGATAGATCGCCTGAGGTCAGGAGTTTGAGACCAGCCTGGCGAACATGATGAAGCCTTGTCTCTACTAAAAATACAAAAGTAGCCGTGTGTGGTGGCACATGCCTGTAATCCCAGCTACTCCGGAGGCTGAGGCAGGAGAATTCCTTGAACCCAAGAGGCGGAGGTTGCAGTGAGCTGAGATTGTGCTACTATACTCTAGCCTGGGTGACAGAGAGAGACTCCATCTCAAAAAAAAACCTCATTGGAAGCATCCTTCAGTGCACAGTTGATTTTCTTCTAATCTCCTGCTTCATCCACAAAATTAATGTCACAGTGACTCTTAACTGCCATCCCTTTCTGTGTTGTTACTTGAGGTGAAGGATAGTATTTATTCTTTAGTTTCTATTAAAGAACAGAATTATTTTGACACCACTTGACATGGTAAGGAAGGCTTTATTCAAGACCATTGCAATGCCATTGAGCTCAACTTGGAATACAGCTAGACGAGTAGGGATTTATAGCCAAAGAAGAGAGGGGAGGGGGTAGTGGATGGGAAATTAGGGGGATTTTTGCTAACCTGACCTGGCAGGATTCCTGCTAAAGGCAGGCTAAGGACTTAGACATTGACAAAGGCCCCTTTGAGTCCTCTTTCTGATTAGACCCTGCTCTCTGGCTGTCCAGTAGGTCCAGTTTTTAGCAAGAATCCTGCTGAATCAGTTGAGCTGAAATCTTCCACCCGCGTGATCTCATCAGATCCCTAATGCCTTTGAAGTGGCCTCATTGTCTGGGGTGATACCCGAGATTCATTGTCTCACGCCAAGGAAATCAAGGATGCAGACACACAAGGAGTGAGCTTCAGAGCGGACATTTAGTAGGTGAAAGAAAGAGAAGAGCTCTCTCCTGTAGAGAGAGGGGTCCCAAGCGGGTTTCCGGTCTGTGGTGAAATGCAGGGGGGTTTTATAGCTGAGCTTGAGGAGGTGGTGTCTGACTTACATAAGGCACAAAAGATTGGTTGGACCAGGTGTGCCATTTGTATAGGACACAAAAAACTAGTTAGGGCTAGGTGTGCCATTTCCATAGGGCATGAAAAGCTGGCTGCCCCCATCCTAATCTTTTTTTTTTTTTTTTTTTTTTTTGAGACAGAGTTTCGCTCTTGTTGCCCAGACTGGAGTGCAATGGCGCAATCTCAACTCTCTGCAACCTCTGCCTCCCAGGTTCAAGTGATTCTCCTGCCTCAGCCTCCCTAGTAGCTGGGATTACGGGCATGTGCCACCACGCCCGGCTAGTTTTGTATTTTTAGTAGAGACAGGGTTTCTCCATGTTGGTCAGGCTTGTCTCAAACTCCTGACCTCAGGTGATCCGCCTGCCTCAGCCTCCCAAAGTCCAAAGTGCTGGGATTACAGGTGTGAGCCCCCCCTCCTCCCCCAGCCCTGGCCCCGTGCCCTGCCATCCCCACCCTAATCTTTTATGATGCAGATGGGTTCTCTGCCTGGCCAGCCCCACGTTGCCTGTTTCTTTTTTTTTTTTTTTTTTTGAGACGGAGTGTTGCCTCTGTCCCCAGGTTGGAGTGCAGTGGCGTACACGTGGCTGACAAAGAAAAGGGAGATGGAGCCTCCATATTGGACATGCCTGACCCCCAGGTGGCCCTTTTCTGTTGGCACAGCTGCTGGCATTCACCAGTGAAAGCTTCCAGCTTGCTTATTTATGTTTGCAGCTTGATTTTTCAGGCTGTTCTTTGTTAGAAAAAAAAATAATAATTTATTGGGCTGCTTTTTGTTAGAAGGGAAGCCTTGCCGAGGACTCTTTTACCCTCACTATCTGCAAAATAATTTCTTTCTAGCTCCTGTATCACCCCAATCTCAATGCCGAATTACCTTGGCCTGGCTTCAGCAGGAGTCCTGTCAGTGGGGGTGGGGTGGGTGAAGAACTTGATCAGATACCCGTGGTGGGGGGATTCTCCAACGTAGCAGACCGGCTAAGACAGGGCTGCGCAGGCCTGGCAGGGGTGGGATAGACAAGGCCAAGGTCAAGGCCTAGGAGAGCAGGGGAGTCAGAGGAACCTGCCTCAAGTTTGGTCAAGGAGGGAGTCTTGGTGAGTTCTGAAAATTTCTTCACTGCGATGTTGACACATCAGAATGCTGCTTGTGGAGCTCTGAAATCCAGAGCCCTGGGCCCCATCTCAGACCCGCTGAAGGGCAAGATCTCTGGCCAGTGAATACCCTCACAGGTGCCTCTGCTGCACAACAGGCCGAGGACCACTTTTCTAAACAAGTCTGCTCACTCTTGTGAACCCAAAAATACCTGAGACAGGTCTCAGTCAATTTATTTTTATTTTTTTATTTGTTTTTGAGACAGAGTTTCACTCTTTTTGCCCAGGCTGGAGTGCAGTGGCGCACTATCGGCTCACTGCAACCTGCGCCTCCCAGGTTCAAGTGATTCTCCTGCCTCAGCCTCCTGAGTAGCTGGGATTACAGGCGCCCGCCACCATGCCTGGGTAATTTTGTATTTTTAGTAGAGACGGGGTTTCTCCATGTTGGTCAGGCTGGTCTTGAACTCCTAACCTCAGGTGATCCCCTCTCCTCAGTCTCCCAAAGTGCTGGGATTACAGGCATGAGCCACTGCGCCTAACCAGGTCTCAGTCAATTTAGAAAGTTTATTTTGCCAAGGTCAAGAATGTGCCCATGACACAGCCTCAAGAGATCCTGATGACATGTGCCCAAGGTGGTCAGGGCACAGCTTGGTTTTATACGTTGTAGGGAGACATGAGACATCAATCAGTATGTGTAAGATGTACATTGGCTAGGTATGAAAAGGCGGCACAACTCAAAGCAGAGGCTTCCAGGTCTTAGGTAGATAAGAGACAAAGAGTTGCTTTCTTTTGAGTCTCTGATCAGTTCTTCACTGAATACACACTTTACAGGAATAGTCACTCACGCTTTAGTCTGGCTCAGTGAAACAATAAGGCAGAGGAAGCAATCAGGTATGTATTTGTCTCCCGTGAGCAGAGGGAGGACTTTGAGTTAGTTAGTTAGTTAGTTATTTTGAGACGGAGTTTCACTCTTGTCATCCAGGCTGGAGTGCAATGGCGCGATCTTGGCTCACTGCAACCTCCGCCTCCTGGGTTCAAGCAATTCTCCTGCCTCAGCCTCCCAAGTAGCTGGGATTACAGGCATGTGCCACCACGCCCGGCTAATTTTTGTATTTTTAGTAGAGACGGGGTTTCGCCATGTTGATCAGGCTGGTCTTGGACTCCTGACCTCAGGTGATCCACCTGCCTTGGCCTCCAAAAGTGCTGGGATTACAGGTGTAAACCACCGTGCCTGGCCAGAGTTTGAGTTTGTCTGTCTTTTGCCCACAAGGAATTTCCTTACTGGCGAATCATGAGGGAGGAATGTGGCTTTTTTATCTTTGTAGCTATGTTATTTAGGAGTAAAATGGGAGGCAGGATTGCGTAGTTCCCAGCTTGACTTTTCCCTCCGGCTTAGTGATTTTGGGGTCCTGAGATTTATTTTCCTTTCACACTCTACATAAGAATAGTTTCTAAAGTCTGAAACCCAAGGTTCACCACAAACCCCTGAGGAGAGAGAATGTGGCTGTCCCCGCTGGGGCGGGGGAGGAGAGCTGGATGGGAAATGCTGTGGGAAAGTGCCTTTCCCATGTCAGATTCTTCGTGCTGCGCTCCCTTTAAGGTTTGGTGTAAATGACAGAAACGATTCCTCATTCACTGGGTGAGGATTATCCTGGAGGGTGGACATTCCTGGACAACAGCAGAGATGACAGTCCTTGACATCGTCTCCCCCCGTGATAAATCGTCACCATGATGATGAATCCAGGAGTCATCAAGTCCAGCAGCTCTTCAGAAAAAAAAAAAAAATGCAGGCTCCTCTTTGTGTTCAAGGCCCACGCAGCAGTGCAAGGACAAGTCCAAGGCTGTAGCTTCTCAGCCTCCATAAGACCCACCCCTGCTTCCTTGCTAGGAACAATGAGATTCCCCAATTCTACATAAAACACGATGCAAATGATACTTCACTGGTTCCCATGCCAACCCCAGGACTGCTACTCTCAGCCCCTCCTGTATGTTGCAGAACTGTAGTGAAGACAGGAACACGGGGGCCATAAGAAATGGAAGAAGGCCTTTGCTGTGCATTCCTGCTGCCCAAGCACTGTTCAGAGGAACAGACAAAGGATGAAATCAACCCATGCTTCACAGAAAGGCAAACAGAAGTGCGGACCCCTTAAGGGTACATGGCTGGAAGTGCTGCGTCTTCCAATTCCAGATTCATTTATTCCGGGATGGCATCCCTCTGCTTTCCTGGCAGGGGAGCGAGCACGGGTCAGCTGGCCTTCATGAAGGGTGCAGTGCAGCACATCTCCCAGAACTGCAGGGCAGCAGGGCGTGTTGCTGAGGGCAGAAACAGAGACCCTTGGATTCAAGAAAAATCACTCATAAAAAGGAGCAGAGAAGCACCTGCAAGAGTTACTTCATTTCCTGGAATCTCCCTTCCCTAACCCCAGACGTAAATCCACAAGTCTGCAAAGCAATCGGCTTTCTAGATTGCCTCAGAATATGGTGAGTTTTTTAAAGTAGACAAAATATTAGTAAAGGAAAGAGACTAACGTTGATTGAAAGCCTGTGTGTGCCAGACACACTGTGCCGGGCGCTCTGCACTGTTTCTATTGGCCGCCGCTTTAGTTGATGCATCTACTGTGTCCAAAGGTCAAGGACGTCCTGACGTTGTGAATAGGTTTTGCAGCTGAATGAGTCTTCCACAATTAACCCAGCTTTACACGTAGTTTGTAATGTTTTTTTCTTATTTTCTTTCTAGCCCGAAAATCTCTTGTACTACAGTCAAGATGAGGAGTCCAAAATAATGATCAGTGACTTTGGATTGTCAAAAATGGAGGGCAAAGGAGATGTGATGTCCACTGCCTGTGGAACTCCAGGCTATGTCGGTAAGGACAGTGCATGTGCACACATGTGCCCGTGTGTGTGTGATGTCCTCATGTGTGGTGTCACCACGTGTCAACTCATCAGTTGTGTGAAACATATGAGCTTGGCATGTAATCACAGCTGCCTTCACTTCCCCTGGGGGAAAGAATAAAAAGATTGAGGGACACTGGAATGAATAATTCATAGCAGGGAAGTGATTTCCCCTGAAAACTTTTGCACAGTTGGGTAGAAATCCCATTTGATTTGGTTGTGGGCCTGACTGGAGGCTGGGAGTTAATTTGGATGAATCCCAGGTTCCATTTCCAGAGATACTGCATACATCTGTTTCTGAGGGATTTACAATGAGACACTGAGATAACAGTAAGGTGCACACACAAGAAAACTTTTTATTCCAATTACTGAGATAGGAACATTGATGGAGGAACCTGGTTCAGACCTTGACCAAGTCACTCTCATCAATCAGTTAACCCTGATCTGTACTGCGATGCTAGGCATTCAAGTTTTTCCTTAAATCACAACCCCCAATTCTTTGTACTAAACATCCAAAATGCAGAGGAAACTACTGACGGATCTGAACACTTGGATTCTGATGTTCATCTTTTGACTTCCGGGGTCCTGGAGAAACACCATTAGAATACTTGTGATTGTTCTGAGACCTTCATTGACATCAGCGTATTCATGCATTCCTTCATTCATTCAGCAAATGTATGTAAAGTTGCTACTATGTACCTGATGCTGTACCAGGCACTGGGGTTAAGGCAGTGAATGACACAGACACGGTGCCTGCCCTCATGGAGCTTACATTTTAGTTGGAACAAGTAAGCAAACAGGGTCATTTCAGATCTTGAGTACTATGAAGAAACTAAACCTGGGGGCCTGCCATGGAGTGACAAGGAATCAGGACTGGGCTGAGAGGACAGGGAGGAGACTTGGGCCTTGGTCTCAGTGGCAAGAAGAAGCCAGCCATGTGGGAGTTACAGGACAGCATCCCAGGAAGAGTAACCAGTTTGTGCGAAAGCCTGAAGGCTGGGAGAGGGTACGAGCTAGGGATGTCTGAGAGCAAGAAAAAAGATGAGGTTGGAAAAGAGTTATGGAAAATGAAGTCTGAGTCTGAATTCTTTCTTTTTTGTGGGGGGTGGGGGGTGTGGTAGGGTACTGAATCTAGCTGTGTTGCAAGGTTGGAGTGCAGTGGCGCAATCCCGACTCACTGCAACCTCCGCTTCCTGGATTCAAGTGGTTCTCCTGCCTCAGCCTCCCGAGTACCTGGGATTACAGGCGCCTGCCACCATGTCAGGCTAATTTTTGTATTTTTAGTAGAGACAGGGTTTTGTCATGTTGGCCAGGCTGGTCTCAAACTCCTGACCTCAGGTGATCCGCCCACCTCAGCCTCCCAAAGTGCCAGGATTACAGGCATGAGCCGCCGCGCCTGAGTGAGGCTAAGTTCTTGTCATGCGAAGTGCGGTGACCTTTCTTCATGAGAATAGCCATTGAGCCCACCTGAGAGAGGAGGTATGTTATGTGACCAGCATCACCCTGTGGGTCTTTGGGGACATCCACAGAACCTTCCCAGGCAGGCTGAGGAGAGCCGGCCTCAAACTAAAGGAGATACAAGGGGTATTGTGGGAAACTCCAGATGACCTTGGGGCCACTTTGTGGCCTTTCAGGTCCTTGCATATAATTACAGAGCCATGTCAAGCTCAAGTGTCATAGCTGTTCATTTTCAGAGTAACTCAGAGGAGGAAAGACAAGAGCAGGCTGAGGCGGGCAGAGAACAAAATAAGGGGAAGGGAAAGAAGCAGCAGGGTTTAGAAGCGGGGAGATGCAGGGGTGGAAACGTGGCTGGGGAGGAGCTGTGTGGACACCATCGCAGGGGGGCTCAATTCCCTGGATCGTGTGTATGCAGAAGGCACAGAAGAAGAGGTTGCTCTGCTCATTTTTGAAAGGTCCAGTGCATGGCCAGGTGCAGTGGCTCACGCCTGTAATCCCAGCACTTTGAGAGGCCAAGGTGGTTGGGTCAGTTGAGTCCAGGAATTCAAGATCAGCCTGGCCAACATGGCAAAACCCCATCTCTACTAAAAATACAAAAATTAGCCAGGCATGGTGGCTCACACCTGTAGTCCCAGCTACTTGGGAGGCTGAGGCAGGAGAATCGCTTGAACCTGGGGGGCGGAAGTTGCAGTGGGCTGAGATTGCGCCACTGCACTCCAGCCTGGGTGACAAAGCGAGATGCTATCTCAGGAAAAAAAAAAAAAGCCAGTATAGGCTTTGATAGAAATCAACAACATAGTAGTCGATCATCTCTTCTAAGATAGCGTGATAACGGTTGCAGGAATAGCATGGTCCCTGCCTGGGGGACATGTGCCTGGGGTGGTGACGGGAGGAAAGAGTGTGTGTGGTATATTCATGGAATTTCTCCAGCTCGATCTGAGCCATCAGGGAAGCCGTGAATACATGAGACGAGACAAGCTGAGTGGGGAGAGCCTGTTCCAACTATCGGGAATCCCAGACATTAGAAAATGAAAAGGTCTGTTAGGTCATGATGCTGGTTCTCTTTTCAGCAGTCTCCCCAGGCTGAGAAGGTGCTGATACTGTGGCCTGCCCATCTCTTCCCTTCAGGAAGTTGACCCTTGGGCTGTGATTTAAATGCTCTGACAACCAGTGACGGCCCCTAGCTACGTACGCATCACGTGCTTCTCATGTTTGGCTGGAAAGCTCCAGCACTTTCTAAATTGAGTTTTACTGCTCTGTGTTTTGGCAAAGCCCACGGAATGGCAGTTTTTCTGGTTTCTAAGTGGCTGCCATCTGCGGGGTCTGAGTCTGTTGATTGCTGTGTCTGGCACTGACGTGTCGGGAATGGTGTTGAGAAGAGTCCATCGCTCTTGCTACTCTAAATGGCAGCCAGTGGGAGCCATTGGGTAATGGTGTTGTGAGATACCAGGTTGTCCTGGAGGAGGCTGGGGGAGAGGAGGACTGTAGCAGTGGCGTTCTTCTATTGGTTTGTGTTGACTGAGCGCTGAAACTCCACCAAGAGTGCCCCTCTGGAGTGAGTCGTGTGGAGGGGACACAACTTCAGAGTAGGGAAGGGGCTGCTTTGAAGAGCTTGTATCTAGAGGACATCCCTTAGGCAGTTAGCAGCTGAGCTTGGGCTGTTTCCTCCCTTGCAGTCTGCATGGCAAGCTCCTATTCAGCCACCAAAGCCCAATTTAAATGTTACCTCCTTTGACTGCTTTCCTGTCACCTTGTCCTCTCCTTTGACATCCTGGTTCTTTCTATGACGCTTTCCTTGTCATGGTGTGATCACATTGCATTAGGGTTCGTATCAATCTGTGTCTCTCACTGCACTGTGAGTCTCATGAAATCTTTGTGCAGACACTTACTGAATTTAGTAAAAACACACAGATCATGAATCTTAGCCATGTTTTCTTTCTCTCTTCCCCTTCCATTCACTCAGCATGCATTTATTGAGTTCCTGCTGTGTACTCTGTGCAGTCGTCCCATGGTATCCACAGGGGCTGGGTTCCAAGATACTTCACCCTCTGCAGATACTAGCATCCTCAGATGGTCGAGTTCCTGGTATGAAATGGCATAGTATTTGCATATAACCTAGGCGTGGCCTCTGTGTACTGTCCTTGCTAGATTGCTTACAATACCTGATGCAATGTAAATGCTGTGGAAATAGTTGTCATAGGTATTGTTTTTATTTGTATTATTTGTATTGTTTTTTCAAATATTTTTGATCTGTGGATCCGCATATTTTGAATCCATGGATACAAGGGCCAAGTGTACAATGTTTGGTTTGAGAATACAAATATGGGCCGGGGGCGGTGGCTCATGCCTGTAATCCCAGCTCCTTGGGAGGCAGAGGCAGGCAGATTACCTGCGGTCAGGAGTTCCAGACCAGCCTGGCCAATATGGTGAAACCCTGTCTCTACTAAAAATACAAAAAATTAGCCAGGCAAGGTGGCAGGCGCCTGTAATCCCAGCCTCCCTACTCAGGAGGCTGAGGCAGGAGAATCACTTAAACCTGGGAGACAGAGGTTGCAGTGAGCTGAGATTGCGCCACTGCACTCCAGCCTGGGCAATAGAGTGAGACTCATCTCAAAAACAAAAAAATGAGAGAATACAAATGTGAATAAGGTACAAATTCTGACCTCAGTATTATGAGAGAGAAAGCAAACAGGTCAGCTTAATGTATGCTAAGGGCTACATCATTCAGCCCTTGAAGAATTATTTATTTATTGCCTACCTTCTGTTCTGGGCACTGGTGCGGGGGGAGGGGGGCGGGTACATCAATAGAAATAGAAGAATAAAACATAAAAATCCCCTCCCTAGTGGCACTTACATCTGAGTGAGAGAGACATAGGCTATAAAGCAAATATTGATAGCTAAGTTCATTCGTGTGTTAGGTGGCCTTAAGTACTATGGAGAAAAATGAAGCAGAAAAGATGATAAGAAGTTTGTGTGTTCAGAGGGTGGTGGCAATTTTAACTACAGTGTGCAGGCAGCCCTCACTAAGAGGGTGGCCGTGGTAAAGATTTGATAGGAGCGAGAGAACCGACCATGCAGGTATCTGGAGGGCATTCCAGGCCCAGTGCAGAGGCCTGAAGGCAGGAGAATGTGGGCAAGCAGCAGGGAGCAGGGGAAGCAGGAAGGAGAGGAATAGGAGAGACAGTCGGAGAAGTCCTGAGCAGGGGTATGTGGACCAGGACTTGGAAATCGTCGTATAGACTTTAGCTTCTACTCGGTGATAGGATGCCGTGGGATGCTTCTGTGTTAAGGCAGTGACATATTGTTTTTAACAGCTTCCCTCTAGGACAGGGGTTCCTAACCCCTGGGCCTTGGACTGATACTGATTCGGGGCCTGTTAGGAAGCGAGCTGCACAGCAGGAAGTGAGAGGCAGGCTGGTGGGCATTCCTGCCTGAGCTCCGCCTCCTGTCAGATCAGCAGCAGTAGATTCTCATGGGAGCTTGAACCCCGTTGTGATCTGTGCCCGCAAGAGATTTAGGTTGCGCGCTCCTTTTGAGACTCTAATAATGCTTGATGATCTGAGGTGGAACAGTTTCATCCTGAAACCATCCCCAATACCGTATCCTTGAAACAATTGTCTTCCGTGAAACGGGTTCTTTGTGCCAAAATTGGGGATCGCTGCTCTAGGACACGAGCTGGGATCAGGATAGATGGTGGGGGTAGGGTGGAGGAAGGAGATGTGAGAAGGCTCAGGCATTGATCAGGTGAGACTGTGAGAAGGCTCAGGCATTGATCAGGTGAGACTGTGAGAAGGCTCAGGCATTGATCAGGTGAGACTGTGAGAAGGCTCAGGCATTGATCAGGTGAGACTGTGAGAAGGCTCAGGCATTGATCAGGTGAGACTGTGAGAAGGCTCAGGCATTGATCAGGTGAGACTGTGAGAAGGCTCAGGCATTGATCAGGTGAGACTGTGAGAAGGCTCAGGCATTGATCAGGTGAGACTGTGAGAAGGCTCAGGCATTGATCAGGTGAGACTGTGAGAAGGCTCAGGCATTGATCAGGTGAGACTGTGAGAAGGCTCAGGCATTGATCAGGTGAGACTGTGAGAAGGCTCAGGCATTGATCAGGTGAGACTGTGAGAAGGCTCAGGCATTGATCAGGTGAGACTGTGAGAAGGCTCAGGCATTGATCAGGTGAGACTGTGAGAAGGCTCAGGCATTGATCAGGTGAGACTGTGAGAAGGCTCAGGCATTGATCAGGTGAGACTGTGAGAAGGCTCAGGCATTGATCAGGTGAGACTGTGAGAAGGCTCAGGCATTGATCAGGTGAGACTGTGAGAAGGCTCAGGCATTGATCAGGTGAGACTGTGAGAAGGCTCAGGCATTGATCAGGTGAGACTGTGAGAAGGCTCAGGCATTGATCAGGTGAGACTGTGAGAAGGCTCAGGCATTGATCAGGTGAGACTGTGAGAAGGCTCAGGCATTGATCAGGTGAGACTGTGAGAAGGCTCAGGCATTGATCAGGTGAGACTGTGAGAAGGCTCAGGCATTGATCAGGTGAGACTGTGAGAAGGCTCAGGCATTGATCAGGTGAGACTGTGAGAAGGCTCAGGCATTGATCAGGTGAGACTGTGAGAAGGCTCAGGCATTGATCAGGTGAGACTGTGAGAAGGCTCAGGCATTGATCAGGTGAGACTGTGAGAAGGCTCAGGCATTGATCAGGTGAGACTGTGAGAAGGCTCAGGCATTGATCAGGTGAGACTGTGAGAAGGCTCAGGCATTGATCAGGTGAGACTGTGAGAAGGCTCAGGCATTGATCAGGTGAGACTGTGAGAAGGCTCAGGCATTGATCAGGTGAAAGGGTTTAGGTCGTATTGGTAGCAACAAAAGTGATGAGAAGCTATCAGATGTCAGGTATATTTCAAAGGCAGTGTCCTCAAGGTTTTCTGAAAGATTGAAAGTAGGGTTTGAGAGAAAGAAAGAAGGCAAGGATAATTCAAAGGTTTTTGGGCCTGATAACCCTGGGAGGGTGCAGTTGTCTTTGCTGGAGGTGGAAGAGCCTGTGGGATGAACAGATTGCAGATGCCTTAGGAGGAGCTTGGTTTCAATTTGTTAAAGTTGACTAAGCCAAGAGGGCAGCTGGAACATGACCCTGGAACTATGTGCAGTCGATTCTCGCTGTTCGTAGTCATCATGTTCTGTTATAGCAAATAGCTGAAAGCACTGAATTAATCAATACTGAACCATTGCTCCTAAGGGAAACACAGGCTGGGTTCCTGTGAGCCTCTGGTCACATTTTCATCAACCAATCAGTACATGACCTTTTCAGAATGTGTGTTTCTGTTTAAAGACACCTTATTGAATATATGTTATTGAATCATTAACATCGATTCACAGCCCACAGCACCGTAACTCCTGCCTGAAGGAAGCTTCTCTAACCCACCGATTTTCTCTGAAAGGCATATCACGGCTTCTTTGCTGTTAGGAAAGCTAGACAGACTTCAGCACTATGCTTGGGGCTGTTGTAAACAGGGAGATCTCCAACAAAACACAAAAATGTGAAAAACACGACACCAAATAGAGGGTGAGAAAAGACCCTCGTTTACAGTCTGAGCTGAAACATGAAGAAGGAGCACCACCTCATTCCGCCTGAGCTTGAAACTTGCACATCAGGCAGCTCAAGTATTTGGTCACTCTATGCATGTCCACAAATGACCACAAAGTATTGATTTGGGGGTTGCAAATAACTTTTAGCCAGTAGGCAAATTTGCAGATAGAGAATCCTTGAGTAATGAGGATCAACTAGATTTGGGAGATGTTAATTTATGGCTGCGTTTTAAAGCCGTGAACCGGGATAGGCAATGAAGGAGAGGAAAGATCCCAGAGCTGAGTCCTGGGGACATCAGGGTGGAGAGGTCAGGGGGACAAGCTGGATCCCGCAGAGGATACCAAGACAGAGAAGGGGCAGTGGGTGAAGTAGAAAGAGTGCTGGCGGAGAGTGGCGTGCTCCCCGTCAGACATGGAGAAAGTGCTTCACATAGAAGTTATCACATGTCAGTTGCTGCTACTGAGTCAAGTAAGATGAGGATTTGGTTGAACTTTTTTTTTTTTTTTTTTTTTTTTTTGAGACGGAGTTTTGCTCTTGTTGCCCAGCCTGGAGTGCAGTGGCACGATCTCAGCTCACTGCAACCTCTGCCTCCTGGGTTCAAGCGATTGTCCTGCCTCAGCCTCCCGAGTAGCCAGGATTACAGGCATGCGCCACCATGCCCTAGGCTAATTTTATATTTTTATTAGAGACGGGGTTTCTCCATATTGGTCAGGCTGGTCTCGAACTCCCAACCTCAGGTGATCCACCTGTCTCGGCCTCCCAGAGTGCTGGGATTACAGGCGTGAGCCACCATTCCTGGCCCTGGTTGAACTATTAATTAAGTGTGGTGGCCCTGTGGTCAGAGGAATGGCAGGAAGAAGGTGAAACGGGTCTTGGTAAGTACACCAGCATGATGTCCACCGTGGGGCTCGCCCCAGCCACTCACCTCCTTCCGCAGCCATGGCTTCTCCCTGCAAGGCTCTTGGGACACCATTTTGAACCTTGAGCAAAGAAACTGCTGGAAAGTTTTCCATCTGAGCAGGGCAGAGCCCAGCCCCATTTGGCAGCTGCGAGGGAGGAGGGAGAGAGAGCTGCCACTTGTGATTCAGGGACCACACTGTCCCCTGGGCCCAAGCCAGGGGCAGGACGCTGCTGTCTGTTCCCAGCCTAGCATGGTGTCTTTGTATTTAGAAAGAAATGTGTGAATAAAGATGAGGAAAAGCTTCCATTCCCCTCAGGGCAATCTATAGGTTTATAGCTTGAGTTCAGACTTTTGATAGGTCGAAGTGTTGGTTTCAATTTGTGAATCACCATTTGATTATTATCTAAATGACTATTCAGCTGAATAGTTAATTCTGCCGACATGAAGCTATGACTTCAATTTAAATGAGCTCTCTAACAATGAAACCGAAATTGGTGCTTTTTCCCCAAGTATCCCAATGCACAGGGTGCCTTAGGAGGAGGCAAGAGGACTATAAGCACTTGGAACTTCACCCTTTTACATGTGGCGGCTGCCTGGATTGTACACACCCTTTGCAAGGACTGTGGCCTGTGGAGGCGGCACATCACTTCACTGATAGCAGGAGTTGGTGGGCATCCCCATCCATGTCACTGAGATGTGGGCGGCTCATAGGGCTGGCTCTGCTAACACCAACAGGTTCTGCAGTAGATTGTGGTAGATGGGCCACACAGATTCATGTGAGGCAGTGTATTTCAGAAGCAACATTAAAATACAGGTGTGAAGGCTGGGCACAGTGGCTCATGCCTATAATCCCAGCACCTTGGAAGGCCAGGGTGAGAGGATCACTGGAGTCCAGGAGTTTGAGACCAGCCTGGGCAACATAGTAAGACCCCTGTCTCTCTAAAAAAATAGTAGGTGGGTGTGGTGGCACACACCTGTAGTCCCAGCTATTCAGGAGGCTGACGCAGGAGGATCACCTGAGCCCAGGACTTTGAGGCAACGGCGAACTATAAGCACACCACTGCACTCCAGCCTGGGCAACAGAGTGAGACCCCATCTCTAAAAAAATACGGGAATGAGAGGGTTCATCAAGGGTTGGAATGACCAGGGGAAAACTCCTGGAGGACATGGATTTGGAGGAAGGGTAGGACTTGAGCAAAAGTAAGGAGAGTCACAGGTGCAGAGCAGGCAGGGGGAGCAGAGGCCCAGAGTCACGGGCTGCTTCTTGGAGGATCTGGGAGAAATGAACAGACTCACTGAGCCTCGAGAGAGGGCTGGTGGAATTGTACTTGGTGATCATTTAGGAGAAACGATGGGCCCATCTGGTGGAAAGTGGCTCCTCAGGATACCATGGTGGCTCTCAATATGGTATTGACCAAGATTGGGAATCCATTTAATTAAGTCAAGTATAACATTCCCCTTGGTCTCGGCAATAAGAGATAAAAGTCAGAGCTAAGGAAGTTAGTAAAATTATGTATATTGCCTGCTCAGCTGCATTAATTAAAATATCTGAATCACTGAACATCAGTAGGAAGTGACAGAAAACATCCGTATCAATCACGTAATTGACAAGACAGATGAGAAACTTCTATTTGGTGGAGGATGGCCTGTTTTCTATCTTTATCTTTTCTTTTTTCAAGAGACAGGGTCTCTGTCCCCCAGGCTGGAGTGCAGTGGCATGATCATAGCTCACTGCAGCCTCGATCCCCTGGGCTCAGGTGATCCTCCCACCTCAGCCTCCTGCAGAGCTGGGACTACAGGTGCACACCACCACACCTGGCTAATTTTTGAATTTTTTTGTAGAGACAGGGTCTCACTTTGTTGCTCAGGCTGGTCTTGAACTCCTGGGCTCAAGTGATCCTACTGCTTCATCCTCCCAAAGTGCTGAGATTACAGATATTAACCACTGTGCCTAGTTGAGAATTTTTTTTTTGAGCCTTATTCAGTGACAGTTCATCACCTAGCAGTATTTTATGTGGAGTGCACAACCACAGCCACACTATTCCATTACGGATGTCACTCAGAAATAAGAAGGAACATGTACAGCTGGTCCATCGTTCTGTCTAGAAGCAGACCTGCACCTTGATGCTTTAGATGGTGGCTGACTGTTATGTTCCTGAGGCTGTCGGGGAAGGAATCGTTCATTTCCTTCTGGAACTTAGTTGCCATGTTGGCTGCAAAGCCACGATAGATATCTTTGGTCTAACTCGGCCTTAACTTGCCTAAAATAGTTTAAACGTGTTTCATCTTGTTCTTCTCTAAAAGGAGATGGAGAACAGTTGGTCAACATTCTCGGTGTATTTTTTCACTGAGTTAGAGGATTGGTGTTAATTCAGGGATCACTGCACTTCTAGAAGTTGATGTGGGGCGTGGGATTATGATGAGCTCTTGGAAACCAGGGGTTCCAGCCAGCACAGTGTTGGGGCGAGGACCTCTATCCTCAAAGCCACCCAGCAGGGGACTTGAATGTAAGCGTCCTCCTCTGTCTGCCATTGATTAGATATGAAGGAGGCCTGTGCCTTTCACTTAAACTTGGGGATTCTCAGTTTCTTGTATATAAAATAAATGTGCTGGGCTAAATATCTCCTGTAAATTTTTTTTCTGGTTTTAACATTGTGTGTTTCTATAGACTTGTGAGTTGGCATCCTTTAAGTATGTAAATATCTACGTGTCAAGGATACTGGCCATCATTGTTCCTGTCTTCACTCCGTACAGCCAAGAAGAAGGATTCAGTCAATGGACCTCCCCAGCGTCTGTCTTCTGAGTGATCTCGATTCTTTTCATCTTTCCCCATAGCGCCTCTGTTCCCAGTCCTTTCGTCTTCACTCCTCGATGTGGTTGCTCCCCAACAGAGCTTGCTTTTTATTTGTTTCTCACTTAAATACCATATTTTGGTCCATGACTATAAGCATTACATCATTGTTCTCATCCTCTCCGACTGTTAGTGTCACAACAGGGTTTTATGTAACTGAGAAATTGTCATACAGGGCACAGATGAGTAGGTGGAACATCCAGATGAGAGTTTTCTCTCTTTCTCAACAGCCACTTGGTGACAGCCCACAGCGAACATTTTATCACACCGTGGGCTGCAGCCAGACCCCCGGTGTTGGAGAGGACAGGGCCCCCTAAGTGGGGAGACTTGTAGGGCCTGCTCCTCTTCGTGGACCTGACTCATCGCACGTGGGCGACGTAAACCCAGCCTGGCTTTGAGGAGCCCCATCCCACACATGGCAGTCCCACAGAGTCGCTCTGAACACAGTGTTTTTAAGGCACTTTTCTTCCTTGTGGAATTGCTTCTTTAGATACTTGATGTGGGAGGGAGGTCACGTTTTGTCGTGGTGGGAAAGAGGGGGAGGGCAGCATTGTGGAGCTCCATTTGTTCTTTGTCATGATTAAAAACCAAAACCCTGGAATGACTACGGCAGTCTTCTTAATCAGATTTCACAAGAAAGGCTTGACTTAAGTACAGAGTAGGCGTCACGCCGTGATCACACAGCAGGTAGGCCCCCATGGGAGACCCCAGAAGGGCCGCACAGCAGTGCCGTTTGTGGCCACATTGCTCTGAAATGCCTTCCTTGGCACAGTTGACTTCCTCCATCCCGCGGAGTTCCAAGGCCCTCCCACATTTCAAAAGCCCAGTGGCCCCAGCTTCTACTCCCTCCCCGTTCCTTAGCCTCACTCCTCCATGATTGGCTTTGGGAGCATTTAAACAGCAGTCCCAGCTCAGATGAGAATGGTAATTACATACCAGTATGGTGCTTTCATGGGGACTTCTCATGCCTGTGGTGAAACTCGAGGCTACTGGACAGATCAGGGTAAGCTGCTCTTTGGCGATACTTTTTTTTTTTTTTTTTTTTGAAACGGAGTCTTGCTGTGTTGCCCAGGCTGGCGTGCAGTAGCACGAGCTCAGCTCACTGCAGCCTCTGCCTCCCAGGTTCAAGCGATTCTCCTGCCTCATCCTCCCGAGAAGCTGGGATTACAAGCACGCATCACTGCACCTGGTTTTTATATTTTTAGTAGAGACAGGGTTTTACCATGTTGGCCAGGCTGGTCTCAAACTCCTGACCTCAGGTGACCCACCGGCCTCAGCTTCCCAAAGTGCTGGGATTACAGGCGTAAGCCACCATGCCTGGCCTGGTGATATGTTTTTAATTTAATTGTTTTTTTTTTTTTTTTTTTTGCCATCCTGATCTATTGCTAGAGGCAATTCATTCCTCATGAATGACAGCTCTAGGTGAAGGCTGATAGAGACCAGAGAAGGAGGCTATCCCAACAGAAAAGATCAGAGCTGTCCCAAAAGCCTTCTGCTCTTCTTCTGTGACTTTGGATGGAAGACAGACTTCAGGCAGAGAACGCTCCTGTGTTTCAGCCTGATTTTTACTTGCCAACAGTCTGGATTGCAATACTGGAAACCTGGGTGAAGCAGCAGCTGTTTATCAAGATGCTCCTGGTAAAAGTCCCTCATTGTCTTAATTTTTTCTTTTTTAATATCCCTGCTGCTGCAAATTCTGCTACTGACAGGAAGCTGACCTGACCCAGCACATTCAGTATCACCTCCTTGTCTTGATGTCATTCTTACTGAGGCCAAATTCTCTACTGAAATGTGTGTCTGGGGTTGCAACAACACGAAGCTTAATTTTATTTTTCCTGATCTTTAAGTTCTGTTTAGCATCTCTGAAAAGGCCACTGCTGGGTAGAAATGTCATCTTTCTCTCTCACTGTTTGAGAGAAATCTTCTCGTGTCTTCTCTGATACGCAGTGTCGCAAACTGTTAGAAACTTGATTACAGTTTGATTTAGTAGCTGGTGTTCCTTCCCCCACCAGCAGGGGGGGCATCGCTTCGTCCCACTTCCTGGTGGAAGTTCCTCAAGGACCGGAAGACCAGCTGTGATCTGAGCGTCTAACCCTGGACACAGATACCTACTGGCATTGTTTACAATGAGAGGCCATGTGCAACTCTTCCAAATTGAGCTCCAGTTCTTTTCCTTGCAGGCGTAACTCTAGGACACAGTGGCATGTGCCCATCAAGACAGGAAACTGAGGCATAGGCAAGGTAATGAATCCTCTAGTTTACTGTGGCACAGAGCCCAGCCTATAATCCTGTCCTCTGATTCCATGCTGGATCTGAGATAACAGACTTGTTTTTTAGAGTAAATTCAGTATTTTCAGTTTTTTTTTTTTTTGTTTTTTTTTTTTTTGAGACAGAGTCTTGCTCTGTTGCCCAGGCTAGAGTGCAGTGGTGCAATCTTGGCTCACTGCAACCTCCACCTCCTCGGTCCAAGCAGTTCTCCTGCCTCAGCCTCCAGAGTAGCTGGGACTGCAGGCATGCACCACCGCGCCTGGCTAATTTTTGTATTTTTAGTAGAGACGGGGTTTCACCATGTTGGCCAGGCTGGTCTCAAACTCCTGACCTCACGTGATCCGCCCACCTCAGCCTCCCAAAGTGCTGGGATTACAGGCGTGAGCCACTATACCCGGCCTGGTGCTGGACTGTTGGCTTTTATCTTCTGGCATCGAGGACTGCCCCTGTCCCCCAGGCTGCTCCCTCCTGATGTGTCACCGTCCTCCGCCCACTGGAGGGGTCATGTGTGAAGGACAGAGAGGAGAGGCCACACAGACTTCCATGGAGGTGAGCAAAGCACCCTGAACGTGGGCTTCCTAGGAGGCTAAGGGCTTCGCCGTTTCCTCCACCCTCTCAGCAGAAACTGCTTCTTGGCACGTCCTTGGGGCTCGGGAAAGGGAAAATTCTTTTCTACTTCAGAAGAGCATGAAGATTGATTACCACGAGCCCCACACCCACAAGACAGCTGCTGTCTTAGTTTCAGTCCCCTTGGTTACGCCTTGTTCTTCTCTCTTCTTTGGTAAGGAAAATGGGCAATTTAATTGTTTTAAAAACAAGATGAAAGGTTTCTGAAACTCTTTTTTTGTTTTTTTGAAGTCTCTCGAGTCTTTCCGTTCGCCAGGAATACTTGCTCTAAATCAATATAAAGTAGCTTGGTTCCCGCAAAGTGGAATTTTCCATAAGTGGGCTGGTGGTGAGTCTCACAGTAGTAAATCCAATTATTTTGAATTTTCTACCTAGTTTTATAAAAAGCATGAGTTAATCGTGGTCTCTGAGAAGGACCACATCTCTCCACAGGGGTCTCTGATGGCTCCTTGGACACTCTGGTGAGGCTGAGTGGTTTACATGGAGCTTAACTTTTATTTACTGGTGTAAACTTGATAAGCCGATGGGATATTGTTTTGTCAGGAATAGCAAAGAAAGCTGAGTTAATAGCACCCAAGATCTGACCAGGAGGAGGTTCTGAGAGATCGTGTAACAAAGTATTTCTTTCTGCCCTTTGCCCCTAAACCTGGTAGACCCGAACTTCCTTGGAGAAAAGGTATTTTTTTTTTTTTTTTTTGAGATGGAGTTTCACTCTTGTTGTCCAGGCTGGAGTGCAATGGCAGTCTTGGCTCACTGCAACCTCCACCTCCCAGGTTCAAGCGATTCTCTTGCCTCAGCCTCCTGAGTAGCTGGAATTACAGGCATCCACCACCGCGTCTGGCTAATTTTTGTATTTTTAGTAGAGACGGGGTTTCACCTTGTTGGTCAGGCTGGTCTCGAACTCCTGACCTCAGGTGATTCATCCTCCTTGGCCTCCCAAAGTGCTGGGATTACAGGCGTGAGCCACCGTGCCGGCCAGAGAAAAGGTATTAAAGGGAGAGCAACATGAGTGACAAGCACATTCACACACTGAGAGTTAGGGTGAATTCTGCCTCTTTTCTCCTCAAAGTTCCTGTCTGAAATCATGTGTTCATGGAAAGGTATTTAGCAAACTGCTCTTGCTTTTACCTAATACAGGTACTTGCCAATTGGCAGTTGCTTCCATTCCCAAATTCATTTGTTCCCTGCCTCTGCCCGTCCTGTGTTATTTTTTCTTGTACCTACTCACCAAAAATATTTCAGGCAGCAAAGTTGACTTGTAGCCCAGTCGTGTGGAATTTGGAAGACATTTTTCCACAGAAATAATGGTGTGTGGCGACTAGGTTGGGTTCAGTTGAATCACCAAGTGCTGACCAATCAGGACATACGGAGATGAGAGCTCTGCCCTGCCCCTCCAGCAGCGTGAAATCTGATTTGACAGTGGGATTTATGCAGCAGTAAAGGGACATTGGAGGTACAGAGGGAGTCAGAGGAGGCCATTGTGTTACAGGATTTTGATGAATGCACCTGGGAACCCAACCGTTGTGCCCAATGTGTGTCAACTGAGTACAGCCGCCCCCACGCTAACCCCACTCTCTGCAGCTCCAAAACGCTGGCTTTGGGCAAGCCTAAGGGATATCCTGAAGGCTGGACGTGCCGACTGGCTTGCATAGGTCCCTTGTAATATCTCCAGGTGGGTGGGTTTCCCTATAGCCACTGACAGAGCCCCCAGGGACTTTGCCTTGTCATTTGAGGGGATGTGCCTTCTGTTGTGTCTGGGCCAGGAGAATAGGCCCTTTCCTGCTTTGTCTGGAGGCTGGGGACATCTTACACAAGCCATGGAGCCTTTCAGTGACCGCCTGTCTTTGTTAGTAGCTCCAAATAAGCAAGAACTCAAAGCATCCCTCTTGCAGGAGGCATGGGAGCAGCAGGGAGTCCTTGTCAGGTTCCCCAATCACACGTGAATTCTGCTGCATACGATTAGAATACAATTTCTCCTTGACTAGGAAGCTCTCGGGTATCTCCAGGCAGCACTGGCCAGGAGATGGAACTGTGGCTGCATAGTTCAGAGCCCTCATCACTTTCCGAGGCCCCGGAGGGACTGTGCTGGGCACCTCCTGGGTCTGGAAACTCGTTGGTCTTCTGCAAGTTTGGAAGCTGGACGCTGTGATTTTTTGGAATTACAGCAGAGTCCTTGCCACGCGTCATAAAACTGGTAACACAACACTGGCCGGTTCGGCTGGTTCTCAGGCAGGAAAACTGGCGTCTGACAAGATCAGAGTGAGAAGTGGACTCTCCCAGGGCTATGTACCTCACCACAGCTGAAACAAGAAAATGGATGGGTTGGGGGCTATGCTAGAAAGGCCGGGTGAATTCAGCAGGTTGGTGAAACAGTGCAGCTGACTCCCGATCACAGGAGGCGAGCAGGAGAGAGAACATCCTCGTGGATCTCCACGGTTTGGCCCGGTTTGGCCACCATATCAAATTATCAGGAGAGTTTTGAAAATTGCCTGAGAATGTTATATTTTCCACGAATTTCCGTGAGATGAAAAATAGCTATTTGAAGTGATCTTGGTGGGCTTTTTCAAACAATGTTTCAAAGGACCCTTGATTCCAGCAATCACAAGTGAAATTAGAATTTAGGGTATGGGTGTGTGTGCCATTATGCAATTTTAAAAATATTTCATGTTGGTGGAAATGTCATTTCCAAATCAATTTGCTTTGTCTTGTTTGCTGGGTGACATGTCACTTCTATATTCACCCTCTGGCTTTGTTTCCAAGCACAGTTAAGACGGTCACCAGAAGACAAATAGTTTACCCACCTCTAATTGGTTAAAAAATATTTGTATTTTGTTGGTCGATATAACACAGATAAGACACAACACCAAAAAGTGCAAGAAATGTACATTCTTGTTCATATTCTTGACACAAATATGTAAATTTCCATCGCCAATATTGTCATCCTGATATTTACTTGTTTATAATTTAGAACTTTTCCCCCATAACAACCATAGTGTTATCCAAAGCAGAAATCTTATGTATTTTTTTATTTGTTTGTTTGTTTGTTTATTTATTTTAGAGACAGCGTCTCACTCTGTTGCCCAGGCTGGAGTGCAATGGTGCAGTCATAGCTCACTGCAGCTTCCAACTCTGGGCTCAAGTGATCCTCCTGTCTTAGCCTTCCAAAATGCTGGATTATAGGCATGAGCCACTACATGTAGCCCAGGAACCTTTTCTTAACCATATGCTTGATGTCATAAACTTTACCATTTAAGCAGAGTCTCGTGTTTTAAAAATTATTTAAGTGTAGTTAGTCTGTGGCTGCAAGAATCTAAACATCTCGGCTGGGAATGGTGGCTCACGCCTGTAATCCCAGCACTTTGGGAGGCCAAGGCGGGTGGATCACCTGAGGTCAGGAGTTAGAGACCAGCTTGGCCAACAAGACGAAACCCCTTCTCTACTAAAAATACAAAAAGTAGTCAGGCGTGGTGGCGCACATATGTAATCCCAGCTGCTGGGGAGACTGAGGTGGGAGAATTGCTGGAACCTGGGAGGCAGAGGTTGCAGTGAATTGAGATCGTGCCACTGCACTCCAGCCTGGGCGACAGAATGAGATTCCTTCTCAAAGAAAAAAAAGAAGAAGAAGAAGAAGAAGAAGAAGAATCTAAACATCTCAAGTAACATCCAAGCATAAAAATTAGCCCCTTGCTTTTCCAGCCTGTACATGCCTTGCACCACGGCCCAGTGTGTCAGCAGATTTGCCAGATTGAGGGTGAAATGTGTCATGTGCCAGTGTCCCTTGATGTGTGGATTTCTAGAAAAAACCATGTTCTTTATTCTTTCTTTTTCTGAGCAATGGATGGTGGCCAGTATGTTCCTCATTCTAACAGATGATGAAGACGGGGAGGAGGTTGTTCTTTTAAAGAGTCCTCCCTCCCACCATCCACGATGCTGGAGAACTGTGAGCATAGAGCACTCACGAGAACACAGAGTATCCGCGCTTCCTAGGCAGGAAGCCTGCTCTGCGGTGGCTGTGGCCTTGTATTCCTGCTGTCTTCCTTGGCTAGGGCATCCGCCGGGTCTTTGCTCAGAGGCTGTGTAAGCAGCTGTTGGAGGCACCGCAGCTTCCTTGTCTGTGCTCCTTTCTCGTGTATCTGTTGCTTTGGGCTTCTTTCTTTACCCCCGCGTTTGTTTCCAAGCACAATTAAGAAGGTCACCAGAGGCCGGGCGCGGTGGCTCACGCCTGTAATCCCAGCACTTTGGGAGGCTGAGGCCGGTGGATCATGAGGTCAGGAGTTCGAGACCACCCTGCCCAACATGGTGAAACCCCATCTCTACTAAAAATACAAAAATTAGCCGGGCCTGGTGGTGCACGCCTGTAATCCCAGCTATCTGGGAGGCTGAGGCAGGAGAATGGCTTGAACCCAGGAGGTGGAGGTTGCAGTGAGCTGAGATTGTGCCGCTGCACTCCATCTCCAAAAAAAAAATTATGTTTTGTTGGTTGATGTGACACAGATAAGACACAACACCAAAAAGAACAAGAGATGTATATTCTTGTTCAAATTCTTGACACAAATATGTAAATCTCCATCCCCAATATTGTCATCCTGATATTTACTTGTTAATAATTTAAACTTTCCCCCATAACAACCATGCTGTTATCCAAAGCAGAAATCTTTTATTTTATTTTTATTTATGTATTTATTTTAGAGATGGGGCCTCACTCTTGTTGCCCAGGATGGAGTGCAATGGCGTGATCATAGCTCACTGCAGCCTCCAACTCTGGGCACCTGGCACGGGGCAGGAGGTTGTGCCCTGAAGTTTGTCCTGAGCTCCCAGCACCTCTGTGCTGTTTGATATCTGGTTCTGTGGAGTGGCCAGGCCTGGCTGCTGCGCCATCTCACTGAAGAGCTTTGCAGATTCTTGTGATCTGGAACCTAGCGCCTCCACCCCCTAACTTAGCTCTTCCCTCCCAACACACGCTGTCAGCTCTGCGGGAGGGGAAGCTGGTCAGCCGTTGCTCTAGGAGCCTTCTCTGCCTCAGGGACACTTTCCATCAGGCCACGAGGCTGGCCCCGGATGGTCCTTGTGGATGTCGTTGCTTCTCACGCCTCTGTGCCTGTTTGGCCACTGGGACCAGAGTGGCAGCTCAGGGAGAGCATGCCTCCTAAATCAGAAAGACATTAACTGTGGTAAATGTGGCTCCCTTTTGTCAGTTCCCATAAGACAAGAGTCTTGAGAAATACGCTCTTAGCAGTCGGGGCGGACGAGTCAGCTATCGCCCGGCCAGCCAAGGGCGGCCCCTCCCAGGTTGAGTTCCCTCACTTTGTAGTTCTGTCTCTCATTTTGCTGCCGCTTTGAGGGTGAACATGGTGAAGAAAGGATGTGCAGATGTATTTATTTTGCTCTTGTTTAAAAAAAATAAAAATCTGATAGAAAGTTTGGGGGCGTTGCAGACTAAAGCCAGTTTCGGGGATTATCTGTGGAGTGCATCCCTCACTGCCATAGGCAGAGGCGCTCAGCAGTGGTTTGTCTACCTTCCTGTTCTTGCTCAGGAATATATTTACTGTCAATAGGATGAAAGAGAGGATTTCCCTTTTCATTTTTCTGCAAAAGAACTTTTCCTTTCCAAGTGTGTCCAACCCCCGGAGGACAGCTGTGAGTGTGACCCAACACAAATTCGTAAATTTTCTTAAAACATTATGAGATTTTTTTGGCGATTTTTGTTTTTTAGCTCATCAGCTACTATTAGTATTAGTGTATTTTATGTGAGGCCCAAGACAATTCTTCTTCTTCCACTGTGGCCCAGGGAAACCAAAAGATTGGACACCCATGTAAACCTAGACTGAAGACGCTCTCACCTTAGCAAACAGTACGTTTGAGTGAAAAGAGCTGCAACAAGGATCAGATTGACCTGGTTTCAAATCTCAGCTCTTTCCTATCTAGCTGTGTGATGTGGGACAAGTTACTTAACTTCTCTGAGGCTCATTTTTCTCACCTATCAGGTGCACTTCATGGTAGTTGTCAGAGTTCAAAGGATTGTAGCAGAAAACATTTATGAATGACTCACTCAGGACCCAGTTCATGGCAGACAATATAAATGAAGTCTCTTCTGAAAGGAAGTTCGTGTAGACGCCACATTCCCACTGGGTAACGTTGGCCAACTTACCTGACCTCTCATACCTCTGTGTCCTCCCCTGTAATTTGGGAATAATAGTGACCATGCTACCAGCACTTCCTGTCAAGGATTGTTGGGGTGAGTGAGTGAATACATCATAAAAGAAGACCTAACTCAGAATCCAACAAGTACTTTGTCAGCTCTAGCTATTTGTCTCTATCCTTAAAAATTTTCTGGAAAGTCTGTGCTAAAGACACTGCCATCAGATATGTTTGGGGGCAAAGGAGATTTTACTCAGATTCACTGCCTCTTCTTGTATTTTTCTACACTTTGCACTAACATATAGTGAGTGCCAGCTATGCCAGACGCTGCTGGTCGCCAGAGTGGGTGGGTAGCCAATGCTGGGCGATGGCCACAGGCCAGGAACAGGGAGTCAGGATCAGTATAGAACAAGCCCCAAGGCCAGTAAAAGAGAATCAGTATAGAACAAGCCACAAGGCCAGGAACAGGGAATACAGAGCAAGCCCAAGCCCCCAGCATGGATGACTCTTGATGAAGAGTGCTTTAGAACCAAGAATGCAAGGTTGAATTGCAGTTTTTCTGTTTCACAGATGAGATGGGAAAATGCAATGAGCATGCTGACACCCTCCCCAAACCTTAGAGAAGGAATTAGGGGCAGGCCTGAAGCAGGAATTTCAGAGGGTAGGCCTTAGCTCTGAGCTCCACTGCACTGTCACCTCCAGGAGGGCCCAGGGAGGGGCTTCACCTTTGTGACCCCACAGCACCCAGAAGGCCCTAAACAGAGGCCAGAAATGTTGCCTTGAGCTGACTTGAGGTGACGTCACAGACTCCAGACCTCAAAATGAGTATTTCTTTTTATGTCAGCCTGATTTGTGTTACAGTGCTTAGTACGGCACTGCCATAAAATAGCCATGTATTATGTGTTTGTTGACTGACAGAGTTCCATCAGTAATCTCACATCTCACACACACACACGCACACACACACTCACCCACACACCCCTTCATTTTTTTTAATTTACATTCTTTATATACTGTAGCGTCTTCATATTTCTTTCTAGTTAAAAATGCCTGTTGAGTGCAGTGACTCATACCTATAATCCCAGCATTTTGGGAGGCTGATGGGGGAGGATTGCTTGAGGCCAGAAGTTCAAGACCAGGCTGGGCAATATCACGAGACTTCATCTCTTAAAAAAAAAGAAAATAAAAATTAGCCAGGCATGGTGGCATGCACCTGTGGTCCCAATTACTTAGGAGGCTGAGGTGGGAGGTTTGCTTGAGCCCAGGAGGTCAAGACTGCAGTGAGCCATGATTGTGCCACTGTACCCCAGCCTGGGCAACAGAGCAAGACCCTATCTTCCTTCCTTTAAAAAAAAAAAGCCAACACATAAAATGGGTTATGTCTCTCTACTCAGTTTTTATACTCACTGAAAGTTCAGGCCAAATAGCAGACCCCAAAAACTGTCTTCAGTCCGAGGCATGTAAATTGTCAGGCTGTGTCTTTTCTTTGTCTTTCTGCAGCTCCTGAAGTCCTCGCCCAGAAACCTTACAGCAAAGCCGTTGACTGCTGGTCCATCGGAGTGATTGCCTACATCTTGTAAGTACTGCCTGCTGCCTTGGGTTCTTCCTCTACCGGCCTTTTTTTGTTTGGTGAAATATACATGAAACAAAATTTACCATTTTTAAGGGTACAGTTTAAGGGTGCAGTTCAGGGCCATGTTTAAGGGTACAGTTCAGTGGCATTAAGTCCATTCACAGTGTTGCACAACCACCATTACTATTCACTTCTAGAACTTTTCCATCACCCCAAACTGAAACTCTACCCCTTACATAAAAACTCCTTTTCCCTTCTCCCCTAGCCCCTGGAAACCTCTGTACTCTTTTCTGTCTCTATGAACTTGACTCTTCTGGGGACCTCATATAAGTGGAATCACACAGTATCCATCCTTTGATGTCAGGCATATTTTACTTAGCAAAACATCTTCAAGGCCCATCCATGGTGTAGCATGGGTCAGAATTTCCTTTCATTTTAAAAACTGAGTATATTCCGTTGTGTGGATAGACCATGTTTTGTTTATCCCCTTGGTCCGTCGATAGACATTTGGGTTGTTTCCACCTTTTGAGTAATGCTGCTGTGAACACAAGTGTAGAAATATCTGTTTAAATCCCTGCCTTCACTTCTTTGGGGTTTCTATCTAGAAGTGGAATTGCTGGGCCATGTGGTAGTTCTACCTTGAATTTCTGAGTAGCCACCATGCAGTTTTCTGTAGCAGCAGCACCACCAATTTACATTCCCAGCAGCAAACACAAGGGTTCCAGTTTCTCCACATCTAAACCAACAGTTGCCATTTTCCTTTTTTTCAATAATAGCCCTCTAATGGGTGTGAAGTGGTATCTCATTGGGGTTTTCAATTTGCATTTTTGTAATAGCTAATTAAGCCTCTTTTCATGTGCCACTTTGGCTTTTTGGTGGATACAAACCACTTGGAAATAGTACATCTCCCAAAGAAATCATAATGAGAAAAAAATGCAATGAAAATCTCAATTTCGCCTTTAGATTTCTCATTTCTTCTGAGACGTCTTATCTCCATAACCCAGGAAATGCAATTCTAGGCCATAGGCTTGTTGCAGTTATTTCAGGATCATCAGTTTTGTTTCTTATTTGTTTTGCTTAAGTCTACTGTAAAGTTATTTTTAAATTACAATTTCTTTTACAAGTTATACTTTCAAATGCTTATTATGGAACATACTTTTAGGGTAGGCTTAGGCCAACTTGTTTCTGCAATTGCTAGGAAATGAATTTCCCCATTTCATCACCCCCAAGGAGAAACATTTCCTTGCAGAAAGAGCCCCCTGCACACAATAAAAGACTGCAGGGGATGGTGATTGGAGAAAGTTCTGGCAGTGTGTGGCATCCTCTTCTCCTCCAGGAATGCTGGAAACATTCCCCCACTACACCACCACCACATTGGTTTTGGTGCAGTATCTGAGAAGCAGATGGCCTTTCTCCAGCGTTCAGCTGGGCTGCATTTGTAGTTTAGTGTGGATTTAGGTAACAGTGCCTGTAGATTCTTGTCGTTATCACAGGAGAATTTCATCCATTGCCATATACTTGGCCTAAAGGACTCTCGTTTATGGAAATTGGTAAAGGGCAGATTCACCTGAGCTTTAAAACTAACATATTGCACTTACAGAATGCTTTCCCTTTCAAAAGACATTGATCACCTTTTGCAGTTTTATCCTTTTGAGGTGTGTTTCACATCCTTTTGAGAATCTAATGAAGGTCATGGATCCTATCCCCTAATAAAATCACATGTGTGCGCGCACACACACACACACACACACACGCACGCACACAATTTTGCATACCATTTTCTCGGGGGGTGTGGTCATTGTCCTGGGTAAGCAGACACTGGACAGGAGCCCTGTGTTACTCACCCTGGCTCTCTAAGTCCTCAATTAGAAATCTTATCAGAGGTCCTGCCTCATCCAGCTTGACTATGGAAGGCTTAAGGAAATAAATGCTAGGCCAGGCCTCTTCCTGCAAAGAACTGAAGCTGGTATCAGTCATCTAGAGAAACCTTCCCTGGGGCTGGGGAAAGTAGCCCTTTTTCTGGCCTTCTGGTTATTTGTTCCTTTATGTCTATCTGGACCTTGAACCATGACTATGGTCTGCACGAATGTCTGTGGACTCCCTTTGGGTTTGTTTGTATAATTATTTCCCTGAAGTTACAGCCTTGGGGTGGGGCATTGGTACAGCTCTGGTTAGGTACTTGTTGACAGATGCTGCCAGATGTTTCTTAGAATGACTGGGATAAGCAGTTTAAAACTAAGCAATGATGTCTTAGTCAGATCAGGCTGCTACAACAAAATGCCATGTGGTTTAAACAACAGATATTTATTTCTTACGGTCTGGAGGCTGGAAGTCCAAGATCAAGGTATCAACCAATTCGTTTCCTGGTGAGGGCTCTTTTCCTGACTTGCAGACAGCCACCTTCTTGCTGTGTCCTCACATGCTGTAGAGAAAGTACAGAAGAGCAAGCTCTCTGGTATCTTTTCTAATCCAGTCACTGGCAAAGCAAACAGGATCATCATGGTTGGCCAAGTGGAGCAGTTGACAGTGGGGAGAAGCCTTGAGTGAAAGCACAGTTCTTCTAGTGAAGAAGGAGGCAGGAAACGTGTTGGCAGTAGGCAACTAACCACGTTTACCATGGACTGTAGGTAGGAAGATGTTGGAAAGAGGGCCAGCATGGCTAGATAGTATCAAGACAATACATCAGAAAGCGACATGCAAGAAGTAACCTAGTGCCAGAACAAAGAGAGACTGATTAGAAAGTTTGGATTTTAACCCAAGAGCAGTAGGGAGGGTTTTGAACAGTGTTGTGATCTGATCTGATTTACGTTCGAGTATTATCCCAGCCACTCTGAAGAAAGCGTTGGAAGGAAAATGTGGAAGGTGGAGAATGAGTGGGAAGCTCTGGGCAGAGGAACAGTGAGAGGCGCTTCTCCTGGGGAGGCAGTGATTATGGGCAGAGTGGTGAAGAGATCTCAGATATATTTTGGATGTGGAGGATGAAGGAGAGGTAGTCTTCAAGTCTCAATCCAAGGAGTTGGCTTAAATAACTGTGTCGATGGTTAAGAAAAAAGAGAGAGGAATGGTAGAGGAGCCAATTTAGAAGGGTGGGTGAGATCAATAATTTGGTGATTTAGGAAGGGGGGTGAGATCAATAATTTGGTTTTGGATACATTAAGCTTGAGACCCTTGGAAGATACCCACTGAGTAGTGTATGCACGTGTGGAATTCAGGAAAGGTCCAGGATAGAGATCCTGGCACGTACTTCTGAGTATGATTTGACAAGTGGTGCACCCAAACCCTTATGATTTCCGTATGCACTGCAACATTTGCCAGGGTTCAAATGTAGTATTAAGCAAAGACATGCCGTATTCCTTTGAGTATAAATTTGGTAAGTTTCTACTTGATGGTTTCCTGGTCACACTAGCTTTGCCCCAGAGACTAGTCCCACATCAATTTCATGACACTGTCAGACTTCAAGATGGCAGCCTGGGCTTCTGTTTTCCCTAGTGCCTTCCAGAACTCTGTGAGTCCCAAGCAGAAAATGAATGGACCCTTGGCATCTCAGTTGTATTCTGTAAGATGTTCAGACTCCTATGGGTGATAGGTCAAATCCTGGGTATGATTGACCATATAACACGACTGCACTTGGAGTACCACCAGCCTCAACTTTATTATCAGTAGATTAATCTCCTTATGAATTCATCTTTTCTCACCATACAGATGGTTGGTACTCTGTTGAGAGGCATCGAGTCTGTATCATCTTTCCATGTTTCACCCTTTGCACGGTGCCTGGAATAGAGAAGGTAATCAATAAATGCTGGTTGTTGACACTAAGAATGATAAGTTTGAGGCTGGGGGTCTGATGTACAGGGAGGCCCATGCACAGCTATAGTAGGTCACAGAATGCAGTGGTCATTGAGGACAGGGAAAAGCACCATCAAGGCGGGTCTAGAAGGTTGGATAAGCAGAGAGATAAGAGCATCAGACAGGACAGGGGAGGGAGGCAAGGACCAGAGCAGGGTGCCATGGCCTGTGTGAGGGCTCATGAAGCTATCCTCTGACTGTTCTGTAGCCTGGGTTTGTGTCGATGTCAGAGGTGGGCACTGGATTTAAGCAGCGTTAGACATCAGAACTCGTTTGTCTCATTCTCAGACTCTTTCTCCTTCCTGTGGGTCCACCGTGCCTGGTCTCCCATTCCCACCTAAAGACTTATGCACAAGGCCACTGAGCGGTCCATGAGCAACAGGCAGCATGCCAGGGAGGCCACCTCCCCACACGGAAGTCACGGAGCGCCTCATTCTTCCCAGCCACTGTAATGGAAAAGAGGTCAGCCCCTGCAGTGTTTTGGAGCATAGCACTCTTATTTTTTATTTTTGTTTGATAAACCTGTCACGCTGAGATATCAGACTGCAGCCAAAGTGGCCGTGACAAGCCGTGGCACCGAGTTTTCTCCTCTTGCACGCCATATAAACATTCCTCCTTTTGCTGGTGTGCGCCCTTGATAAATTGGCCCTCTTTTGGTCTCCATTTATCTACTATTCATCATTTGGAAGGAGAAGTATTTTTTCCTACCAAGGACACTCATTTTTAAAAACCCATGTGATGAGTTCTTATCCTGCCAGGAATCTTGCTTTGGGGATTAGGACTTGCAAAAAACATCTTTGCTCAAATAGCTTATGCTGCCAGGAAGGGCTGAGGACGGCGTGGGTTGCGCTTTGTGATAAGCGTGTTGGTGTCCAGTGTGACGGGCTTGGCTCAGCCAAGATAGCATAAGGTCCAAGGCACAAATTTTCTCAGTCAAGATGAACCTCAGCATCTCACAGATCAATCTTGATTCTGTGATAACATGCGGCCCGCCTTTCTTCTCAGAACTTGAAGGATACTCATTTTTTAAATGATTATTTAACGATCATTTGCCTAAATTATGCTCAAGTATGCTGCGTATTGTGAGGAGACACTGAATGTGGGCTAACAGCTGAGAAGGATCCTAAAGAGATTCCCACTCCCAAATTGGAACAGGCACGTCAGAGGCACAAGAGCAGGCTGGACGGGTGGGCTGAACTTGGCCATGGGTGGGGAGACCTCAGACCTCTCTGCCTAGAAGAAACTCTAGGCAAAACGCTGATGGTACTCCACTTTCTTTAGTGAGCCTCTACATTGCTCACTTTTTAAAATTTACTCACATAAATGTCGATTTGCCTGTGCATGCAGCTGAATTAGCTTTGGAAGAATGGAACAGGGAAGGCCTAATCTGCATGCTTATATCCATGTTCTGAAACAAGAGATGAGCCTCGCCAAGGCAGTTCCCATCCCTTTGAGCAATTGACAGCTGGCTCTTGATGGAATACATATGTTCTAAGGAGAATTTGAGCCCAGGCATCCCCCAGAGAGAATGCAGCGTGGTCACCGAGCCCCAAGCCCCGGGGGGTCGTGATGGCTGTTATTCCTATCAGCATGAGGAGTGCTGACTTTAATAGGGACTGTTCACTGATGTGGCCAGCGGGCAACAGTCGCCTGCTTATATTCATGAGCTTTGTGAGGTGGGGCACGGTGCCTCATTCAGGCCACTGTGGGCCCATGGTCTGGATTTTGGCTTTAGAAATTTGGAAACTTAGTTTGATCTGTTTATTCATCTTGTTCAGACATCTTTGTGAATTGATTCACAGTAACTAGACTCAGAGGAGAAAAAAAAAGACTGGACTGTCCACTTACTAAATCATAATGCAGTTTGTGCCTCACAAGGTAATTGGATATGCATGTCAGCAAACAAACATGTTCTCTCCCCTATAGGAAATGCTCCGTGAGAAACCAAATGAAAAGCAGAAGTTTTCTTTCTTTTGGAACAGGGTATCAGAGCAGTGGAGGCGGGTGGCCTTAGATATATTCACGAAGCCTGTGCTGGTCTCCAGGCCACCTTCTCCATAGAAGGATGATTCCGCTGAGCAGCTCTTTCTCTTGGCTGGGTAGCACAGCTGACCAGTTCCTTTTTTTTTTTTTTTGTTTAGAGACAGGGTCTTGCTTTGTCACCCAGGCTGGAGTGCAGTGGTGCAATCATAGTTCAATGCAGCCTTGACCTCCTGGGCTCAAGTCATCTTCCCACCTCAGCTTCCAAGTAGCTGGGACCATAGGAGTGTGCCACTATGCCCAGCTAATTAAAAACAAAACAAAACACAACAAACTTTTTTTTTTTAGAGACGGGGTCTCACTATGTTGCCCAGGCTAATCTTGAACTCCTGACCTCAAGTGATCCTCCCAAAGTGCTGGCATTACAGGTATGAGCCACAGTGCCCAGCCCCTACTGACCAGTTCTTATGAACCCTCCTTTCTTCTGCTTTAAAGACCAGCCACCAGCCACCCACCATTTCCCATTATCACTCCAGCATCGTAGTTTGATTACAGCAGGCATCGATTGTTTGTTATGATTTCCAGTTGACTCATTTTAGTTCATGGATTGCATTTCGGTTTGGCTGCTTTCCAAGGGTTTTCAGAAAGGACCTCGTCTCCCCATCACATTCTCTGCCGAGTCCATCCTGGGGATGCTAAATGCCACCTGTGGGTTGTGAGTCCCTGCAGCTTTAGTTGCAGGCAGAATTTGGGCCATATTTCAGCTTTGTTAAGCTGAGGCAAGGGACTTGAGGCATTGTCTGTGACAATTGGTTTACTACCTCTAACCCCTCAAAATACTCTGGTGTCAGAGAGCAGGTACAGGAGGTACACAACAGTGAGGGGGGAAACTTCACAAGCAGAGCAGTTGAGGGAAATCGGGCTTTTAGATGGTGAGGGGAGCAACTCCCTGCCGGTGACCTCAGGCCGTGTGGAATGCACCAACTTCTGTGGCTTTGCCTTCAAAGGCCATGAGGTAGAGAGGGCACCACAGAGCGAGAGGTCAGAAGGTAGTGGCTCACAGCCGTCACTTTTGTGCCCTGAATGGCGTGGCTTCAGGCCAGATGGAGAAACATTTTACTTCCTGTGCTCTTATTTTCATCTTAACCCCATCTCCTAGAAGCCATAGTTTATATAGCAGCTAAAGGCTTTGGGATATTTGGCCTGAAGAATGGAAGGCAGGGGACTGACATCCATTCACTTAACTCACTTTTATCGAGCCTAACATGTGTCAGGCAGTGTGATGGGGATGCAGAGATGGATGTATCACCGGCCTGGCCTAGGAGGCACTTACTGTCTGCTGGAGGTGACAGACATTAAACAGATAAATTACAATCTAGTCTTACCAGCTGCCTGAAATGGGAGGGAGGTGGTGGGGCAGCTCCTAGAACAGAGCTGGGACTCTGCCCTGGCCTGAGGAAGCCTTCCCAGGATAGGTTACAGCGATCTGGGTTTGGAAAGATGGGTGAGAATCTGCCAGGAGAGAGCTAGTCCAGGCTGCGGGAAGAGCTCTGTCTTCAATATCTGCCTAGAGAGACTGATGGTTTATCCTCTCAAGACTCAATTATCTAAAGATAAAATGTGCTGTTTGTGTATGAGAAAAGAGATGCCATTCAATTAGAAACATAGTGTTTAAAATAGAGTTTGAAGGAGTTGATCGAGCTTTGAACTTTTAATATCTCAAACTTGGGGATGGGGAAAATATAGTCTCTGAATTATCAGGATTTTTCATTCCCCTAGCAGGACACTGTGCACACAGAAGAATCAGGGGCTCTTTATTATGGTTTTATATATGTATTGGAGGTGCACAGCAGCAGCACTCAGCAGGACAGGAGCAGGGCATAGATGGTGAAAAGAACCAAGGAACATGCACAGGGGGAAAATGCCCAGCTCCACGGTGGGTGGCACAATAGCAAGCGGGTGGCTTCAGGCCCCATTTGTGACGAAGAGAGTAGAGATGGAGGCCAGGAGGGGAGGGATTCCATCGTACACCAGCAAGTCAGGGAAACCCTGGAGGACACGGGTGGGAGGATCCTTGGAAGAGTTGATCAGAAGCCCACGACTCGACGCAACACCATGTAATGTGGTGCACGGTGCCACCTTCCCGCTTTTGGTCTCCTTGCCGTCCACGTTCCAAGGGCTTGTTTTCTAGTCCATCTCAGAAGTGCATTGTTGGGAGTCAGCAAAGAGGACACGCCGAAAGTGCAGTGAAAGGCCTCAGCCAATGGGGTGGAGGGAGCACGACATTGCCCTGGGGCCATTGTCAGCCTATGCAGATGCGTAACTGCTTACCCATCCAAACTAGGAGGGAGGGAGGGAAAGAGGGAGAAAAAGAAGGAGAGAAGGAAGGAAGCTAGGGAGGGAAGGAGGGAGGAAGGAAGAACCTAACCACCAAGTAAGCAAAGTCAAGCTGCAGAAATCTAACTTGGAAATTCTCCATGGGTTCCGCATCATCGGTTAGCGCTTGGTGCTAATCGCCTCCAGGTTGGGTGTCTGCACCCCTCATGCTTTGGTGTAAAATCCACCCCTCGTGAGAACTAACTCCTCTGCTTTGTCCCAGGTGTGCGCTCAGTTTCACTGTTAGCCATGAGCTGCTCTGAAAGTGGTTTTTTCCCAACTTCCTGCAGATGTATTTGGCCCTTTAGGAGGAGGCTTGGTACTCTGCACACATGCTCCGGGCTTTCTCGAGGTGGTGTCCATCTGGCTAATGCAGGAATCAAAATGTGGATTTTGCTGCTCACTAGTCATGCTTGGGGATGTGTTTTGTTCTCCCTCCCCTCCTCCCCGCCAGTGTTCAATTTCAGTCGTGCATCAACTTTCTAAGGAGTGGGTTTCCCTTTTCCTCTCTGGTATTCCCTTTCCTTTTTCCCCTAAATCTTTTCCTAATCTGCTTACTCCTTCTCAGTTTTCAAGGCATTGTCTAAACCTCAGAGGGTGCAGCAGGCATTTATCCCCCTTGCATTTTCATCACCAGTACTTTGCCGGAGTCACCCTCTGCATGGTTTAATATGTGAACCATTCCTAGTTTCCCTGGCCTGCTCTCTTCTAAGTTTGCAAGGAGAAAGCTCTGGAAACGCACACAATCAAATATACGGTTACTGAAATCATTGGATTACGTTTTTATAACGATTCAGGTCTCATTGGCCATTAAATGCTATAAATCCAAATAATATGCTAAAACCTGTTTTGGTTACTAAGTTGGCCTTGCAAATAAGTACAAAAGATTTATCAGCTTTTAAAAGCTTTGCTTTATTTTATTATTTCTTAAAGTCTGTCATATTATACAGAGTAAGATGAATACAATTCAGATTTCTTCCTACAGGATGCAGACATTCATTCAATAAACATATGTTAAATACTGACCGAGTGCCAAGGCAGAGGACAAACAGTGGCCACCCAGTGGTCGCTACATGTGGGCACACTCTGACATCCTAAGGAGCAATGCCCAGAGTTGATTGATTTTGCTCGTGTTTTTCAGACCCCCATTGGGCCTGGGTTGGCCTTGAAGCTTGCCTAGTGTGTAATATACATGGAGATTTGTTGCTTCGGTCATTTTTATGGCACCTTGGCCTAACTGCATAAAAAATACTCCTTAACAAATATGCCTTTGAGCAGGCGTTCTCAGGAAAGCTTGAGCTGTTCTAGAATTGAGCCATCCATCCTTGGCTAAGTGTTCAGAAATACTGGCACACAAAGATCAAACTTCTAAAGCAGGTTGAGTGCATTCTGTCATCATGTTCATAATACAGCGCTCAGAATAATGACCAGAGGCAGCGTCTCCCTCTGTCCCTTCTGCAGCAGCTTAGAAGGTTATGTCAGGGTGTATGGTTGTTAGTGGGTGGTTCTGAGTTGTTGCCCAAAATTTTAAAGTATGTTGCATCATTTTCATGGGTAGAGTGTGGGACATTGGGGTGAGTCCTCAGGGCTCATCTGCTCCTCTCTCCACCTCAACATTGCTCTTCCTGATGCTGTGTGGCTGCCCTCTCACTTCAGCATCTTTCAGCTGGAGGAACCTGAGAAGGAGGAGATGGAGTTGGGATGAAAAGGAGAAGAGGGGGATAAGGGTGTGGGAAGCAGCATTTAATGATCACTATGTCACTGGAACTTTCAGATGTTACATCTCTAGTATCCATCCATCCATCCATCCATCCATCCATCCATCCATCTGTCCGTCCATCCATCCATATTTCTGTCTGTGTGTGTATCTATCTATCTATCTATCTATCTATCTATCTATCTATCTATCTATCTATCTATCTTATCTATCTATCTATCTATCTATCTATCTATCTATCTATCCATCCATCTGTCCATCTCATTCATCAACCCATCCTTCCATTCATCCATCCATCCATTCATCTATCTATCCGTCATCTATCTATCCATTCATCCATCCATCCATTCATCCATCTATCCATCTTCTATTTGTTTATCCATTCATCCTTCCATCCACCCATCCATCCATTCACCAATCCATTCATCTTTCTGTTATCTATCTGTCTATCCATTCATCCATCCTTCCATCCATCTATCTATCTACCTATTTATCCATCTCATCTGTCTATCTTCATATCTATATCTATCTTCATTATCATTATCTGTCATCTATCTCTATCAACCTATCATCTATCTATATCTATCCATCACCTGTCTGTATATCTATGTGTGTTTTATGTGTCATACATATTAGGACATGGAATACATGACATATGTTCCAATATTTATATAAAGTGGGTGTTGTTATCCCCATTCACTGAATAAACTGGACTCAGAGTGGGTGACTCATTTCCCCAGTGTCACTCACACAGTTCCTGATGGAGCTAGGCTCTGCACCTGTGTCTCCTTTCCTCTGACTTCCTGGCTGAGGAAGACTTGCCACACAAGGAAAAAGTCGCCCTTTTTCCTTGAAAAAATCACTTCTATTCTCCTTCATGGCCTTTTCTCCCAGTTGGATTAAAACAGAGAGTTCTGGGTTGCCATTAACTAATGATTATTCAGTTATCAGTGTGAACTGCTATGTTCAAATATTTTTTCATAAAATATTTTAAAATAAGTGTCAGCACTTTCACAGGTGTTTAGAAAATTCACTTATATCTATTAACTTTATTTTCCAATTTCTCCCCATCAGCGAGGCACTCCTGTCCCCTGGCCAGCCTCACAGAGCCCTGCAAGGTCTCGCCAGAGGGAACTCTTTTGCCTTTGTATCTTCTTGCAGCTTTGCATGGGAGCATAGCGCTGAAAAAGGCTTCTCCGTCCTGTTGGGATTTTCTCAGTATAAATGCAGTCTCAGTTTTCTCCAGGCCCTTTCTCCACAGACAGGGCCATCATTATCCTGGCCATTCTCCTCCCATCTGTCTTCAGAAATGCAGACTGGGTAGAACATTCCGCATTGATTTTGGAACTGCAAGACTTCTGGGCTGTTCTTCATTTCTTTCTTTTTTTTGAGACAGAGTCTTGCTCTGTCACCCAGGCTGGAGTGCAGTGGCACAATCTCAGCTCACTGTAACCTCCGCCTCCTGGGTTCAAGCAATTCTCCTGCCTCAGCCTCCCGAGTAGCTGAGATTACAGCTGTGTGCCACCACGCCTGGCCAATTTTTTGTATTTTTAGTAGAGATGGGGTTTCACCATGTTGGCCAGGCTGGTCTTGAACTACTGACCTCATGATCCGTCCACCGTGGCCTCCCAAAGTGCTGGGATTACAGGCGTGAGTCCCCGCCCCCGGCCTGCTCTTCATTTCTTTGGCAGGTCACGTGGCCTCGTCTCTGGCTCTGTTTCTAAAAGTATGATACAGAAAAATCATGACCGTCTGACTGCAGAGGCAGGTTCTGAAAGAGAACATGCAGGTGTGGTGTTTCCCCATCTTTGCAGTGGCACATCTGGATGGAGGTCCTAAAGGTTAATATGACCTGGCTCTGGAGTTGGACAAAGAGACTAAAATTCTGTGCTGTCCCTTAGATGTAAGCAAGTAGCCTAATCTTTCATGCATTTAATTCCTCATCTGGAAATTGAAGATTGAAAAACTTAGAACTATGCATTAAATAAGACAATAATATATGTAAATTACATAGCCCAGTGCCTGGCACGGTGACAGCTCCGTACATGGTAGATGTGGTTATTAACGTTTATAGGACACATTCACTAGAAGTGGTTTCTCTATTGTAGAAAAGTAAATGTTCCACTGTCCCATTTAAATAAGGCTGGACTATGGAACCCTGAGGGGCAAGACCTGGGTCTGTCTTACTCACTGCTCCATGATCAGCATTTCACACAACACCAGTGCCCTGTCAGTATCTGTAGAATTGGCCAAGGGTGGGTGTGGCTCACACCTGTAATCCCAGCACTTTGGGAGGCTGAGGCGGGCAGGTCACTTGAGGTCAGGAGTTCGAGACCAGCCTGGCCAACACGGTGAAACCCCATCTCTACTAAAAATACAAAAATTAGCCCAGCTACTCGGGAGGCTGAGGCAGGAAAATCACTTGAACCTAGGAGGCAGAGGTTGCAGTGAGCCGAGATCACGCCATTGCACTCCAGCCTGGGTAACAGAGGGAGACTCCATCTCAAAAATAATAATAATAATAATAACTATGTGTGTGTGTATAGAATTGGCTTGAAGTAGCCTTTGTTTTTTTCTAGACCAGAGCTCTGGACAGATGCCCAGGTCTCTTCTTCAGCTCCCTGGGACTCACTTTCCCTGTCTCTTAAACAAGGGGTTGGACCAGGTGATAGCTTCTGGACCCCAGAATAAAATCTTTGACTGTGTGAATCCCCCTACTTTGAAAAGCACTTCTTCAAACATACTTTTCAGCTTCTGATTTGAGGACTCAGGCTGGGAGCGGGAGGCGCCACCTGTCAACTGTGTCATCTGCTGGGCAGTTGCTGGTGGGAGGAGCTCCGCAGCAAGGAAGTCCCTGGAGGCCGTTGTTGGGGCCCTGGATGGGGTGGGCCCAGGGCATATTTGTTGAAGTTTCCTTGTGTTCATTCCAGTCTGCCTTGAGGGGTGTCATTTACAGTGGATGCCATTGGCCATCAGAAGGCTTTACTGCAAAAATAACTGAAAAAGTACTACACTTGGGAAAATTTGGTTCAATTTTCCTTTTTCAGGGTAAACACCTATTTTGGGATGTTCAGTACAACTTCTTAAGTCAGTACACACACACAAGCATAAATATTTCACACAAAGTATTTCTTGTTCATCAAAGAATAATCGATCGACAAATATTCATTAAATAGTATCGAGGCCAGGCGCAGTGGCTCACACATGTAATCCCAGCACTTTGGGAGGCAGAGGTGGGCGGATTACCTGAGGTCAGGAGTTCAAGACCAGCCTGGTCAATGTGGTGAAACCCCATCTCTACTAAACATACAAAAATTAGCCAGGCGTGGTGGTGGGTACCTGTAATCCCAGGTACTTGGGAAGATGGGTTGGGAGAATCGCTTGAACTCAGGAGGTGGAGATTGTACCATTGTACTCCAGCCTGGGCGACAGAGTGAGACTCCGTCTCAAATAAATAAATAAATAAATAAATAAATACTATTGAGTGCTAATGAAAGATACAGGCTGAGTATGATGGCTCATGCCTGCAATCCCAGGATTTGGGGAGGCCAAGGTGGGAGGATCTCTTGAGCCTAGGAGTTCGAGACCAGCCTGGGCAACACAGCAAGACCCTGTCTGTACCAAAAAAAAAAAAAAAAATTAGCCCAGTATGGTGGTGCACGCCTGTGGTTCCCACTACTCAGGAAGTTGAGGCAGGAGGATTGTATGAGCCTGGGAGTTCAAGGCTGCAGTGAGCTATGATCATGCCACTGCACTCCAACCTGGATGATAAAGCTAGACCCTGTCTCAAAAAAAAAAAAAAAAAAAAAAAGATACAAAAAAAATACTAGGCCGGGCGCGGTGGCTCACGCCTATAATCCCAGCACTTTGGGAGGCCGATGTAGGCGGATCACGAGGTCAGAAGATCGAGACCATCCTGGCCAACATGGTGAAACCCCGTCTCTACTAAAAATACAAAAATTAGCTTGGTGTGGTGGCGCACACCTGTAGTCCCAGCTACTCGGGAGGCTGAGGCAGGAGAATTGCTTGAACCCAGGAGGTAGAGGTTGCAGTGAGCCGAGATTGCGCCACTGCACACCAGCCTGGCAACAGAATGAGACTGTCTCAAAAAAAAGAAATACTAGATATAGCACAGTCTTTGTCCTTCAGGGACTTATTACCAAGGTGGGAAGGTAAACATTATAATCATGATAATAAGCCATAATATCTTTACATTTCTTTTTTTTTTTTTTTTTTTTAAACACAGAGTTTTGCTCTTGTTGCCCAGGCTAGAGTGCAGTGCGCGATCTCAGCTCACTGCAAACTCCACCTCCCGGGTTCAAGTGATTCTCCTTCCTCAGCCTCCCGAGTAGCTGGGATTACAGGCGTGCGCCACCATGCTCGGCTAATTTTATATTTTTAGTGGAGATGGGGTTTTACCATGTTGGTCAGGCCGGTCTCAAACTCCTGACCTCAAGCAATCCACCCACCTCGGCCTCCCAAAGTGCTAGGATTACAGGCATGAGCCACCGCGCCTGGCCAATAGGCCGATATCTTTACATTTCTTAAGAGAACCCAAGAGGGAGGTGGGCTGGACTGTGAAGAATGAGAACTGTTTGGAGAGGGACCGAGTCAGGTTGGGGTGGCAGTCCTTGAAACACAGGCATTTAATGACTCGGGCATCCAGCCACCTTTTGCTGAGCACATGCTGTGTACTGGTATAGGACCAGGGTTGCAAAAAGGAATGAGGCATCACCACCCTTGGAGGGCTCAGACTGTATCAGAGAAGACAATGGGACATAGACAGAAACCAACACGCATGCCACGATGATGGTGCCTAGCAAACTTGGAGAACACCAAGGTGGGGGCCTGCCCTGGCCGGGTGGGATCAAGAAAGACATCACTGAGCATAGACCTGTGCACGGGGCTTTGGGGGAGAGCAGGTCACGTCTGTGCACAGCGGGAGAAGAGCAGCCCTGGGCACAGAGAACGGTGTGTAGAAAGGAATTTTCTCGATTGAGGATGCAAGGCTTCCCCTGACCAGCTCCAAATGACCTTTTCTGGGTATTTTTTACACTTCCTGTTTATTTTGAAGGTTAGTGTTGGGTATCTGTCCCCCTGACCCCCAACTAGAATGTAAATGGCATGAGAATAGGGACTCAGACCGTCTGTTCCATGCCTGGGACCTGGTCAGTGCTCAGTCTTTGGTGACAGCCAGAGGAGTCCCTGACAGGCGGTTTTATTAATGTAAGCTTCCCAGCCTGAATCACTGCTGTAGATGCAGGTCACACCTCCTCCCGGGAGCCTTCCCTGATTACCTGTCAGACTGCTCTCTCTTCCCTGCCTTCCTGCAGCAGCTGTGGAGGAGGAATCCACCTGCTCCATAGCGTCCAGCCTCTGGGCCCTGGCCAGCAGGGCTCACCCCTTTTGCGTCCCTTTTGCAGCTCTGCAGCCCAGCAGGGCCTAACCGTGTTGAGGCTCCTCCCCTCTTTCAAAGTGTCCTTCTCCCGAGCTCCACCCTTGATCCTTGACTCAAAGTCACCAACTGAGCAGGTGGAGGGCCAGGGAGATGACCTAATGTGTAATCAGCTAGGTGATTTTTGTCCATGCCAGGGGCTTGCTGGCACACAAAAAGAAGTGGATAAACTAGCTGTTCTTACCCAGCCAGCCAGCCATGCCAGGCTTCCAGGGAATTTGTGTCTGGTCCCCATCCACATACATACATGCTTCAATATGCCAAGACCGTGGGGACTTTGGGGCTGTGGCGGTCTGGCTAGATCAACACCTGTCTCTGGTCACTCAAAGTCACATCTGTTTGAAATCGCTGCTGGCCAAACACATCATGGGCCAGATCAGGTCTGTAGAGGGTCTGTGTGCGACCCCTGAGCTGAGTGATCTTATCTACTCTGAGTGATCTTATCTGCTGTCCCGGTTTTCATGCATGTGCTGATGGCTGTATTCCAGCACCCCCATGATACACCTGTCCCTGGCATAAGGCCTCTAACTCCAGCTGCCTGCTGGCTACCTTCACCTGAATCTCTCACATGTACCTGGTCCAGCTCTGCCCGGCATGAAAGGAATCACTCGTTGATATCCTTTGTGGGATGTTGGCAGTTCTGGGTGCATGGAACACATTCTCTCCAGTTGCCTTAAGGAAGAGAGATTTGTTGCACAGCTTCGTGTGGAATGAACTGGAAGGCCTAGCACTGATGCGGCCACAAGCGTGGGTTCCTCTCACAGCCTCACCACTGAGTGGAGATCTCTCCTCCCGGCCCATGCTCTGCCCTCTTCCCTGCTTTCTTTTAGTGTTCAGTTGAAACCTAGGCAAGATCCAGTGTAGTTATCAGAGCTAATTACCAGGGATGGGGCTGCCTCAGGGAGTTGGCTCAGCTGCCCTCTCTCCTCCTCACCCTGCCTTCAAAGAACTGCCTGGAGCCGCCTCTCTGAGCAGGCAGCGTCCACTGAAGAGGGAGCTGGAATTACCAGGTGCTGTGGTTGATAACAGCCAGGCCACCCCGGCTACCTGCTCCTTGTCCTGCATTCTTCACACAGTGGGCATCATCTGTAGTCCATGCTGGGGACCTTTGAGGCATCCTGGCCTTCACTGGTTACACCGTCCTACACCAGATCTGCCCGGTTCTGTCTGAACTGTCCGTTCCTCCGTCCAGCTCCACTGCAGGCCCCCCTGTCTCCTCTGGCTGCAGCAAGTTGGCCACTCGTCTTCCTGACTCAAACCCGCCACATCTCTGCTGCAAAGCCAATTGTCCCTATCGCCCCTCTGTCTACACCATTCAGGGGCTTCCTTCTACCTGCAAGATAGACCACCCACCTTAGGGTGGGGAATACAGCCCTGCCAGGCCTCACCTCAGCTCTAGCTGCAAACCAGCTCACATGCCGCACCGCAGCAGCAAGCTGCTCTTCCATGCTGGAATAAACTGCTGTTTTATGCCCCATGCTCTTATTCCTGGGCAGCCACTCCTGCCGGCAGCCCACCTGTTTCTCCCGTAAAATTCCTGCTTATCCCCTGAGATAGGGCATAGGCATCCACTTCCTCCACTCCCACAAAGCTGCTTGGCTTGCACGCCCTTGTATACCCGGAATAGCCTCTGCAGATTTCTATTGTTACTGTCACCCATGTCATTATTATCTCTTTATGTGCCTCTCTCACCCACTCTGAGCTCTTGAAGGCAGAAACTGGTTCTTAACTTAGCATTGTATTTCCAGTATCAAACTCAGTATCTGGTATATAGTAGGTGCAACACAAATACTTGACGTGTGAGTGCTTGGTATACCTCCTCCTGGCCTAGGTAGGCCTACGTAGGCCAGGAGGCACCAAGTGACTATGTGTATGTCGGCTGATTAAAAATGAAGACAGCGGCTGAGCACAGTGGCTCACAGCAGCACTTTGGGAGGCCGAGCTGGGTGGGTCACCTGAGGTCAGGAGTTTGAGACCAGCCTGGCCAACATGGTGAAACCTCATCTTTACTAAAAATACAAAAAATGCCGGGTGTAGTGTCAAGGTGCCTGTAATCCCAGCTACTCTGGAGGCTGACGTAGGAGAATCACTTGAACCCAGGAGGTGGAGGTTTCGGTGAGCCAAGGTCGCGCTACTGCACTCCAACCTGGGCAACAAGAGCGAAACTCCTTCTCAAAAAACAAACAAATAAACAAAACGAAAACTGTGAAATACTATAAGATCCATACAGGGCTGGGTGTGGTGGCTTATCCCTGTAATCCCAGCACTTTGGGAGCTTTAGGTGGGTGAATCACTTGAGGCCAGGAGTTTGAGATCAGCCTGGCCAACATGGTGAAACCCCATCTCTACTAAAAATACAAAAATTAGCCAGGTGTGGTGGTGTGCACCTGTAATCCCAGGTGCGCAGGAGGCTGAGGCAGGAGAATTACTTGAACCCAGCAGGCAGAGGTTGCAGTGAGCCAAGACTGAGCCACTGCACTCTAGCCTGGGCAACAGAGTGAAACTCTGTCTCAAAAAAAAAAAAATCCATACAGAAATACTTTTTAAAAATCACTGCCTGATAATAGTCATCCTAACGGGTGGGAAGTGGCATCTCCTTGTGGTTTTGATTTGCACTTCCCTGATGATTAGTGATATTGAGCATTTTTTCACATACCTGTTGACCATTTGTATGTCATTGAGAAATCAAAAAGGCAAGGGCTGGGGAGGATGTGTGGGTGTAGACTCTATGGAAAACAGTGTGGCAATTCCTCAGAAGATTAAAAATAGAGCTACCATATATAATCTAGCAATTCCAAAAAAATGGAAATCAAGATATTGAAGAGAGATTAACACTCCCATGTTCATAGCAGCCTTATTCACAATAGCTGAATAGCTAAGTGTCCATGAACATATGAGTGGTTAAACTGTGGTAGATGCATATAATGGAATGCTATTCAGCCTTTAAAAAGGAGAGAATTCTGCAACATGTGACAACATGGGTGAACCTTGAGGACATTGACACAGTGCTAAGTGAAACAAGCCAGGCATAGAAAGACATATAATGCAGGATCCCACTTATACAAAGTATCTAGAATAGTCAAACTCATAGAATGAAAGAGTGGAAATGGTAGCTGCCAGGGACTGGAGGGAGAGACATGAGGAGTTACTAATCACTGGGTATACAGTTTCAGTGAAGCAAGATAAATGTGTTTGAGAGACCTCCCGTGCTACATTGCACCTATAGTCAACAGTACTGTAGTGTACACTTAAAGATGTGTTAAGATGCCAGGCACAGTGGCTCACACCTGTAATCTCAGCACTTTGGGAGGCAGAGGCAGGTGGATTGAGCCCAGGAGTTCCAGACCAGCCTAGGCCACATGGCAAAACCCTGTCTCTACAAAAATAAAAAAAAATAGCTGGGCATGGTGGCGTGCACCTGTAGTCCCAGCTACTTGGGAGGCTGAGGCAGGAGGATGGCTTGAGTCTGGGAGATGGGAGGGTGCAGTGGGCCAAGATTGCACCTCTGCATTCCAGTCTGGGTGACAGAGAGAGACCCTGTCTCATTAAAAAAAAAAAAAAAAAGGCGTTAGGAGGGTGGATCACATGTTAAGTGTCCTTACCACAAAATAAAATATAACAGTCACTGCCTGGTGTCCCATGTGGCTGTGGCTGGTACTGCCCTAGCACCACTTTTTTTTTTTTTTTTTTGATGGAGTCTCGCTTTGTTGCCCAGGCTGGAGTGCAGTGGTGTGATCTCAGCTCACTGCAACCTCCGCCTCCCGGGTTCAAGCAATTCTCCTGCCTAAGCCTCCCGTGTAGCTGGGATTACAGGCACCTGCCACCACGCCCAGCTAATTTTGGTATTTCTAGCGGAGACCGGGTTTCACCATGTTGGCCAGGCTGGTCTCGAACTCCTGACCTCAGGTGATCTCCTCGCCTTGGCCTCCCAAAGTGTTGGGATTACAGGCGTGAGCCACCACACCCGGCCCAGGTAGCATCTTATTTGTTAGACCCTGCCTGAGGGAGATGGGGGCGGAGAGGCAGGGTCCCATCAGAGGGTTCCACTTGCAGATGCAGGGGCAGGTAGAGCAAACCAAACGCCCCACAGAGAGAACACAAAGTCAGATTGACTTCAACGCCCGAAGTTCAATTCTTGAGTCCCCTCCCTTTAGTGCATGAGCAAAATAGTTAAGAACACAGGCCTAAAAATCCGACAGAATAGGCTCAAGCCCTGATTTTTCTGCATGTTGGTTTCTTTGCCTTTAAAAAGAGGGATGTGCAAGGACCGTATACGAAAAGGGAGGTGTGGGAACCACAAGGAATAGCACCCATGACCCTGGGCCTCATTGCAGCTGAGCTGTGAGCACCTCTAGACCCAGGGGGCTGAGGGGAGAGGGGAAAAAGGCAACAGGAAAGACAGTAAGATGTAAGAGTTCTTCCTAGAAGACAGACCCGAAGCTGGGATGGAGGCAGTGAAGAGTGCTTTGGAGGTGAATTGCCTTGATTGGGTGTGACAGTTGCAAATGCCAGTGTTATTCTGAATCAGGAACTTTGAAGCCTAGAAAAATTGGGAAAGGCATTATTGCCTTTGAGGACCCTTGGCGATATAATTTGTAGATTATTTAAACGGTTGGATATGTAAAAGAAGCCACACTTCTGGAACATTCGTTAACAACCCTGGGATTACCAGTGTGAATGGGCGGCCCCATGGTCACAGAAGTCCTCTGTGTATCAAGTTAAACAGCCCAAGGTTGTTACTTCTGTTAGATCACCTCCACACAAACCTGCTAATGACATAGCTTGGCCAGGGAGCTCTCTGAAATTTCTAGATCTAAGGAAGATTTTGTAACTTCTGTTTGTCCTTCTGTTATTTTACAATCCTTACTTTTAAATCTTTTTTCTTAATTTTGACTTACTTAGGCTCCAAGCTCAATCCATGTCCTTTTCCTGTGTCCTCAGTTCAGCCACATAAACACAATATCCTATAATACAAAAACACGGAAAGAAAAAAGAGCTAAGACCAGAAGAAACTGGAATATACATTTAAAAAACTGGCACCCAGAGAATAAATGTTTCTCGGAATTTTCTTAAAGAATTTTTTCCTTGCAAAGAAAGCCAAACCCTAAAGAAAAACACACACGGTTGTAAATAAACAAAAACCTCACATATCTAGAATTTAGTTTTTTCTCCAAGATGAACTAACATTTTGCTCTGTCTGCGTTTCCTAATATGCACATTTCATTTTGCCTGAATCCTCATCGTGGGAGAAATGGACAGACCCATCTTGGGGCTCCGGGATTTCCGTGGGCAGTGAACTATGTGCCTGGTGGTTTCGGAAGCCCTGGCTCTTGTTCATTTCACTAAAAGCAGCACATCTTTAAAAATGAAATTTTCCAGGCTCTTAGTCCCTAAGGCAACCTTGTGGGGAGAGATTATTTTGATTCTTACGGGCCCACAGAATGTCTCACAGCCTTTAAAAATGTCATCAGGCACGCCCCTGCGCAGCGATGGCTGGCGATGTGCGTCCCACGGGAGGAACAGCTGAGGAATGGCGGTACCAAGGTGGTGTTTCTAACCTGTATTGCATTTCTTGTGTGCTGACAGCCTAATCCCTCGCAGTCCTGCGCTCTGTTGTTTCTTGTTAATTTGTTCTCATTAGACTGGTCCCTAGGCTGTGGCTGTGTGTTGAACAATGTTGATCTATGTGGTACAATTCAGGGCTTGTTTGGGTCAGAGCTCCCACCATGGGCCGGGCTCAGTGGCTCACACCTGTAATCCCAGCACTTTGGGAGGCCGAGGAGGGTGGATCACCTGAGGTCAGGAGTTCGAGACCAGCCTGGCCAACATGGCGAAACTCCATCTCTACTAAAAATACAAAAATTAGCCCAGCATGCTGGCAGGCACCTGTAATCCCAGCTACTTGGGAGGCTGAGGCAGAATAATAGCTGGAACCCAGGAGGTAGAGGTTGCAGTGAGCTGTGATCACGCCATTGTGCTCCAGCCTGGGTGACAGAGGGAGACTCTGTCTCAAGAAAGAAAGAAAAAAAAAGAACTGCCACCGTGGCTGCCACCCTCTGGGTTGTCGCAGCCCGAGAAGCAAGTTCTGCACCACGCTGCATTGCCCCTGGCCTTCTGGAATCAAGCTCCGCCTTCCTGCAGCCTTAGGCCCACCTCTTCCTGGCCGTCCAGTGTAAACCAAGGCCAGCCCCTGCCTCCACACGGGCCCCAAGCATGTTCTAGGTCTTTTCCTGAGTGTTTTAGCCAGCCAAACTGAATCATAGAGCCACGGTATCTTAAAGCTGGAAAAAATATTAGGGGTTTTCTAGGCCAGCCCCTCGTGTTTTCAGGGAAGGAAATTTTGGTCCAAAAAAATGCATCACTGGTAAAAGTAGCATTGAAACTGATTTCAGAACTGAAATGAGAATCCATGACTTTATGGAATGAATTGTAGTGGGTCTAGTTAATCAGAATTTCCACTCCCATTGTGTGTGTCAGATGCCTGTTGTCCCACCAGAACTCTAAATTATAAGTCACTTGCACCAGCATTAATATGATCTGCTAAAAATCAACTTTGAAATGGATCCATGGAAAAATGGGTAGTATTATGATATTGTAGGCTTACAACGTCTGTCAGCCCTGCTGATACTTACTGCATGTTAATGGGCAAAACCACAACCCTCCGCATACTCAGTCTGGGCATGGTAGTGTGCTGATGTGCAGGTTATGTGCGTGACAATGTGCAGGTTATGGTGTCTTGTGGCAACTTGAAACTCAACGTCATAAAATTTCATTTTCTTCCTCTGGTGATTTCTGAAATAAAATGAACCTGGAAGGGCCCTGAAATGGATATTAAACATATCTTTTGTTTGTTTTCTCCATCAGCTCATCCTCTGTTAGGGACAGTATTACATACAGTAAGATCAATAACATTTATGTGAAGAAGGCTGTCTGTTAGGTTTTTAGGGCGTGTGGGATTCTGTGGTTAATTCTGTGCAGAGAGTTAAGGGGGACTTCAATAGTTATTTACCTTTGATCATGACCTGAGTTGACCCTTTTTGCTATTTATTAAATCGCAGTTTTACTCCTGTGTCACCTATCCTTGCGGAATGTGTGCTTTCTTGGTTGAGATTATATTTGCAACACACGCGGTACAGATTTTCTTTTTCTTTTTCTTTCTTCTTTTCTTTTTTCTGAGACAGAGTCTCGCTCTGTCACCCAGGCTAGAGTGCAGTGATGCGATCTTGGCTCACTGGAACCTCCACCTCCCAGGCTCAAGGATTCTCCCTTGAGGCTCTCCCACCTCAGCCTCCCAAGTAGCTGGGATTATAGGCACCAGCCACCACACCATGTCAGCTGATTTTTTTTTTTTTTTTGCATTTTTTAGTTGAGACGAGGTTTTGCTATGTTGGCCAGGCTGGTCTGGACCTCCTGGCCTCAAGTGATCTGCCCGCCTTGGCCTCCCAAATTGCTGGGATTACCTGCGTGAGCCACTGTGCCTTGCCAGATTTTCTTAACTCAGTTGGTAATGTCTCTTCCTTCCAGGCAAAGTGTACAGTCACCACACTGGTTATGCAGATGTTCCAGCTTTTACTCCATTTTGTCTCCTAGGCTCTGCGGCTACCCTCCTTTTTATGATGAAAATGACTCCAAGCTCTTTGAGCAGATCCTCAAGGCGGAATATGAGTTTGACTCTCCCTACTGGGATGACATCTCCGACTCTGGTAGGTCTCCCATAGGCAGCTCCCAGTGGGCGGCCCCCGCGACACTTACACCCAGACCACGTGACCCTGACAGGCCCAGGGGACCCTGGGGGGCTCAGAACAGTCCTGAGGGTCCTGTCTTGGTTGGCTGCTGTAACAAGATACCATAGACTGGGTGGCTCAAACAGCAAACATTTATTCCTCGCAGCTCTGGAGGCTGGGAAGTCCAGATCAATTCGCCAGCACATTGAGCATCTGGTGAGGGCCCACTTTCTGGTTCATAGACTGCTTTCTTCTCAACTATGTCCTTCTCACCATGTCCTCACATGGCAAAAGGGTCAAGAGAGCTCTCTCAAGTCACTTTGATAAGGGCACTAATCTCATTCATGAGGGCTGCACCCTCATGACCTAATTACCCCTAAAAGGTCCCATCCCCAAATACCATCACATTGGTTGGGATTTCAGCATATGAACTGTGGGGGATTAACAAACTCACAGCAGACAGTTCATAACAGCTCTCAGAAAGCTTCATGAGCTACATATTTGCGTTTGACTTGCAAACAAAGAGGACAAGCTTGGGACATCTGGCTCGAGCCACGCTGAGAGATGGGGACCCACTCATCCACCTCTTCTAGCCATGCCCTGTTCTGGGAGCTCCAGGAGTAAACCAATAGTAGCTGACATTTATTGAGTGCTGACTGTATGCTGAGCACAAGATGCTCTGTATGTGTGCTAACTCACTCAGTCCTCAGGACAGCCTGTCAGGCGGGTATTAACTGTTAACCCCATTTGACAGACGAGGAAACCGAGGCCCCAGAAGGTGAAATAACTTGACCAAAATCATACAACTAGTAAGGGGCAGAGCCGGCATTTGAAATGCCACTCTGAAACGTTCCTAGGGAAGTTCACTGTTCCTTCCTCAGGGAAAAAGATCAAAACCAAGGCCTGTGTAAATTAATGAAATCTCTCTAAGCCTCAGTTTTCTCGCTGGTAAGATGAGGCAGGTAATAATATTCCATCTCTACCACAGAGCATAGCAGAAGGATGAAATGAGATCATGAATGGGACAATGCGTTCTAGTCTCCGTGAGCTATTCAAAGAGAGCATGTTATTATTTGTGTTACTTCATCCTAAGTGGAAATGCCTTGGTTTCATCTTCAGCATTTGGAAACCTGGGCCTGGAGTATAGTTGTACAAGGCTCGCGGGAAAGAGCCACATGGGAAGTATTTTCCTTCTGAGCTCAGAGGAGCACAGCCTTCCCCCAGAAGCCCAGTCCTTTGGGCATTGAGGGGCCGCACCCTGCAGTGCAGCAGGTTTGGGGCCTGACCCATGATGTCATCAGTTCTGCCACCCAGCCCCTCACTTTCCCAGGGTCTTCTGGGCCATCCCCTCTCCTGGGCTGCCAACTACTCCCCCACTTCCCCCAGCAGGGCACAGCTCACTGCATTGCAGTTTTCTGCTCCAGGGTTTGTAATAGCCCAAGTAGGCCACACATGGTGCTTTCTGGGGACTTGATATCCACAGCACCTAGCCCAGGACCTGATGGGCTGAGCAGGTGCTCAGTAGGTTTAGTTGAATCAGCCACATTTAACACATGGAGATGATGTCACCAAAACAGTTCTCTAAGGCAGTGATGGACTAATTAGAGGCACATGATAACAAAGATATTTCTTCTCTTCTCTCAACCAAAGGTATCACTAGCCACTAGAGGTAAGGGCCTTGGAGCTGGAAGTCAGGGTCCCAGGCCACCTCCTCACTGCTGGGCCACCCTAGAGTGCCAAGTCCTGGCTTTCCTTTTCCCCACACGCTGGTGCCTTTGTGTCCAAGGTACAGTAGTCTCTGTGGAGGGCTGGTCTCATATTTTTCATGCTACACACGCTCCTCCTGAAGACCTGGTGGGATCATATTGTCACATCTCAAGTCGCAAAGTGATTCCTTCCCTTGTGCCTTCTTTTTGAACAGCAAAAGACTTCATTCGGAACCTGATGGAGAAGGACCCGAATAAAAGATACACGTGTGAGCAGGCAGCTCGGCACCCATGGTAAGGAAATGCACCCGCTCAGCAGACCGTGCCATTTAATGCCATCTGGGGGGGGCACGAAACTTCCTGTTGGCCGTTGTCATTTATGAAATCCACACAGGATTATTACAAATTTCATCTCATTCTGGCCAGTGACTTTCCTCCTCTCCCCAAGCCAACATTTGAACTCTTGTGCCCCCAGGACACAGCTTCTGGAAGCACCATGAGAAGTTAGTATGTGTATTCGTCCTTTTTCACGCTGCTGATAAAGACATACCAGAGGCCAGGCATGGTGGCTCATGCCTGTAATCCCAGCACTTTGGGAGGCTGAGGTGGGTGGATCACAAGGTCAGGTGTTCGAGACCAGCCTGGCTAACATGGTGAAACCCCATTTCTACTAAAAATACAAAAAAAATTAGCTGGGCATGGTGGCGCGCGCCTGTAATCCCAGCTACTCGCAAGGCTGAGTCAGGACAATCGCTTGAACTCGGGAGGCGAAGGTTGCAGTGAGCTGAGATCGCACCATTGCACTCCAGCTTGGGCAACAAGAGCAAAACTCTGTCTCAAAAAAAAAAAAAAAAAAAAAAAAGACATACCCGAGACTGGGCAATTTACAAAAGGAGGAGGTTTCATTGGACTCACAGTTCCACGTGGCTGGGGAGGCCTCACAATCGTGGTGGAAGGCAAGGAGTAGCAAGTCATATCTTACATGGATGGGAGCAGGCAAAAAGAGAGAGCTTGTGCAGGGGAACACTCCTCTACAAAATCATCAGATCTCATGAGAGACTTATTCACTGTCACGAGAACAGCACGGGAAAGACTTGCCTCTGTGATTCAATTACCTCCCACCAGGTCCCTCCCACAACACGTGGGAATTCAAGATGAGATTTGGGTGGGGACAGAGCCAAACCACATCAGTATGCAAAAGATAGCTGCTTTTGCATTTCATAGAAAGTCTTTAAAGATATTGAAGATAATTGCCCAATGAGGCATTACAATCGGAATTTTATTCCTTGAGTTTATTACTCATTAGTTAAATGAAGTTACATATTTTTTTCCTTTTAAGATGCTTTTCGAATTTGTGTTTCTTCAACTCGAGAGGGACTAATTGAGAGTTGATGGCATTCTACACATTTTCAGCAGTGGGCGTGAGGCTACCTTGCTTTTGTGCCACTAATTTAGAAACCAGCTTCACTATCAGCTAGCTGCGATGCTAGGTTTACACTTGACTTTTGTGAGCCTCTGTTTCCTCATTGTTAAAATGAGAATAACAATACCTAATTTGCAGGGCTGACATAAGAAATACCGGAGATAATGCATGTAGAGGGTTTAGCACAGAAACCCTCTGGTCCATCAGAAATGCTTAGTTAATTGTAGCTATTGTTTTGTTTTGTTTTGTTTTTTTGAGATGGAGTCTCCGTCACCCAGGCTGGAGTGCAGTGGGGCAGTCTCGGCTCACTGCAGCCTCCGCCTCCTGTATTCAAGGGATTCTCCTGCCTCAGCCCCGCAAGTAGCTGTGATTAACAGGCACCACCATGCCCAGCTAATTTTTTGTATTTTTAGTAGAGACAGGGTTTCGCCATGTTGGCCAGGGTGGTCTCAAACTCCTGACCTCAGGTGATCCACCTGTTTCGGCCTCCCAAAGTGCTGGGATTACAGGTGTGAGCCACCGCGCTGGCCTGTAGTGATTGTTATGTAAGCACCACGAGCATCCATTGTGAAACAAATGCCAAGAGTCGTAAAATACCAAAGATAATGAAAATAAATGGACAGAACCTTGAGATCAGGAGAAAATCCCCCTAAAAATTACTCCAGAAAACCATCCCCCTGTGTGCCCCGCCATCCTCTGTAGCATTTCCCCTGGGGTCTTGTGTGCTGGTCAGCCTTCTAAAGGGGACCTGCTCACAGACAATGTCCTGACCCCATTTCACAGTATTTCAGTGTATAACACCTATCATTTATTGAGTCTCTATTATATTCCAGCACTGGGCTAATTGCTCTAATGTATTGTCTTCTTTTTTTCCTTTATAATAACCCTGTGAAGTTGTATTTTCATTTCAGAGATAAAGAAATAGAGAGATGGCCGGGAGTGGTGGCTTATGCCTGTAATCCCAGCACTTTGGGAGGCCAAGGCGGGTAGGTCACTTGAGGTTAGGAGTTCGAGACCAGCCTGGCCAACATGGTGAAACCCCGTGTCTACTAAAAATACAAAAATTAGCCGGACACGGTGGTGTGTGCCTGTAATCCCAGCTACTGGGGAGGCTGAGGCCTGGAAATCACTTGAATCCAGGAGGCGGAGCTTGCAGTGAGCCAAGTTGGTGCCACTGCACTCCAGCCTGGGCCACAGAGCGAGACTCTGTCCCAAAAAAAAAAAAAATAAGGTAAATTAACTTAGCCGAGACTACACAGCTAGCTAATAGCAAAGCCAGGATTCCAGCCAAAACTATCTGATTCCAAAATGAATTCCCTTCACCATCACACTGGAAGGAGAAGAAAAGGGGAAGAAAGGAAAGGCTTGGGGGAGAAGGAAAGAACATTCTGAAGAAGTGGACAGTTGTGATTGTGTATCGTCTTGATTTTGTTTAAGTCACTTTGGGCAGTAGTCAAAGTATGCGACGATAAAGGTAATAAAGGTTTTCTTACTTTATAAACATATTAGGCCTTTAAAGCTGTAAGACTTTTGAGATTTATCTTATAAAGAATAAAAATGACCTCAATAAAAGAGGGAGGGATGTGAGCCTAGTGCTTGTTGGTAATCCATACTTGCTCTGTAGAAGGCAGGAAAAAGGCCAGTTAACACCTGCTCTCTCCTTCACCAAACATTTTGGAAAAAACAAAGAAGGGAGAGGTCAGTTTTCCCGAGGAGGCTGGGAGAGGGGCACAGAGGGCCCAGCAGGAGGTGGAGGCCCTGCTGAGTGCCACACCATGAGAAGGCTTGCCCCAGGCCAGCGGGAAGAGGAGGGAATTCCAGGCAGATGAGCGTCTGGGCATACAACACGGGAGCTTAAAACTGCATGTGCGTTCCTGGTGCCCTGAACACATGGTATTCCAGAGTAGGAGAGGACGCAGGAGACAGGAAATGAGACTGGGAAGGAGGGCAGGAACTGGCAGGCAGGGCAGGGGCCTGGCCTGGCCTGCTCGGCTCTTAAGTCCTGGCTTCACCACTCACTGCCCGTGTGGATGAGCTCCTCAGCCCTTTGGGCTGCCCCTGGAGAATCAGATCATGAATAACAATAATACGGACCCCGCAGGACTTTTCAAGGGGTTACGTGAGATAATACATGTGACAAAGAAGAAGCGTTGCACATCTGTGATACCTACAGGCTGCCATTAATTGATGACTCTACCAAGGAATTTATACCTTTCCCTTTGGGCAGTGGGGTCCCTGACATCTGTTAGGCAGGGTGCTGAGGTTTGATTTTAGACAACCCAATCTGGTGGGAGATGGAGTGTGGGAGCGTGGCCAGAGGTGCAGCCTAGAGGCGGAAAGGGGGCTGGCCCAGAGGAGGGTGACAGTGGCCTGCGCGGGGCAGCGTGGCAGGGATGGAGTGGGGCAGGGAGGACTGTGAGTGACTGTCAGGGACGGAGAAGCCATGGGCATTGGGCAGAGCAGTGGCAGAGTGAGGTAAGGAAGAGAAGGGTCTAGGATTATTCCCAAGTTTCCAACTTACGGGACTCGGGGGAAGATTGTGCTAGGAGGAGGGGCAGGCTTGGAGGAGTGAGTTCAGCCTGGGCCACGCTGCACCGGAGGTGGTGGGAGCCTCACTCTGTCGCCAGGCTAGAGTGCGGTGGCGCGATCTCGGCTCACTGCAACCTCCGCTTCCCGGGTTCAAACGATTCTCCTGCCTCAGCCTCCCAAGTAGCTGGGATTGCAGGTGTCCACCACCACATCCAGCTAATTTTTGTATTTTTAGTAGAGATGGGGTTTCACCATGTTGGCCAGGATGGTCTCGATCTCCTAACCTTGTGATCCCAAAGTGCTGGGATTACAGGCGTGAGCCACCATGCCCGGCCTACAGTACATTTTAACCCTCCCAATAAGTCAAACCCTGGAAAATGATGAAAACTAATGCACTTGACCCAAGCATTGCTGAAACTCTCGCTTGCCTGCATTTATGATATACTTCTCTCTTTTATGTAACATTGCCTGGGCAAAGTAGAACACAGATTCAGGTGAGAGCTGGCAGAATATGGAGTCATTCCTCCAGGCGGCCCCTCCTCATCAGCGGCAGCATTCTGGAAGCTGTGGTCTCCGCACATCCCTGACACCCCGAGAGCATCATCTCTTATTCCACACTTGCTCTTCTGACTTCAGCAGGGCCACCGAGGGCGAGGGAGGCCTTGGCAATCATGGACACCTTCCTTAGCCCCCAAACAGACCACTTCAGACAGGAGAGGGGTCTTTTCAGAGCTCCCCCTTGGAAGGCAGCCGGCCTCTTAGCAGATGGAGGCAGCCGGCCTCTTAGCAGATGGCTCCCGCCCCTTTCACTGAGCATTGCTGTTCTCTCTGTGGTGTGTGCTCAGGTCCCAACAGGCTGCCGACTGATGGCCACAGTGTAGGGAATGGCCAGGGCCAGGATGGGAACCCAGGCCCTGTTACAGGGCAGCCCTGGCCAGAGCTCATTCCTCCAGCTCAGTGGTTCTGAGCATTCATCTCTAGGCTCATTGATAAGCAAACTGAAGTGATAAGAAGAGACGCTGAGAGAGAGAGATTAATTTATTTTAAGGATTTAAGCCTGTTTCCTGCAATTGTGGGGACCGGCAAATCAAAAATTTGCAGGCCAGGGCAGCAGGCTGGAGACCCAGGGAAGAGCTGATGTTGCAGCTCGAGTCCGAAGGCAGACTGGAGACAGCAGTTCCTCTTCCTGTTTTTCATGAGGGCCGTCGACTGATTGAACGAGGCCCACCCATGGCATGGACTCTAGTCGGTTTGACTCAAAGTCTACTGATTGAAATGTTCATCTCATCTAAAAAATACTTTCCCAGCAATATCAGGCTAGTATTTGGCCAAATATCTGGGTACCGTGGCCTAGCCAAGTAGCCAAGTTCACATTCCTGAGTGTTCGCCGAACCCCCGCTCCCATCTTCTGGGCTCCAGACACCAGAGCTCCGGTTGGCTGTAGGAATTGGGAGGTGGCCCAGGACTGGCAAGTGCTGTCCCGGGTACACACCAGGCACCACCAGGCCCATCTTGAGCAGGTGGCTAGAAAAGCGCAGACTCAGAGCCAGGAAGGTAGAAGAGACCACACACAAAACACAAAACCACGAAAGGCAGGGGAGACTAGGCTGTGGTCCGTGAGTGGTGGATAGTGAGACAGGCTGTAAAAGGTGTGATTACGTAAATGCTATCTGCATTGTTCTTGTAGGTATTAAAACCAGAAAGCTGGCCGGGTGTGGTGGCTCATGCCTGTAATCCCAGCACTTTGGGAGGCCAAGGCAGGCTGATCGCTGGAGGTCAGGAGTTCAAGACCAGCCTGGCCAATATGGTGAAACCCCATCTCTATTAAAAACACAAAAATGAGCCTGGCATGGTGGTGCATGCCTGTAATCCCAGCTACTCAAGAGGCTGAGGCAGGAGAATCACTTGAACCCAAAGGCGGAGGTTGCAGTGAGTCGAGATCGCACCACTGCCCTCCAGCCTGGGCGACAGAGCAAGACTCTGTCTCAAAAAAAAAAGAAAACAGAAAAGCAAGGGAGACATGAATGAAATGTGTTCACCCATAGCGTTGCCTAAGTGTGTGTATATGGATTGATAAAGCAATCCTGCTGTATCAGAAGCATTGACCACTAGGATCCCTTCCAATGTTTAGACTCCATGCCTCTGGTTTTGTTGGCGAAGCGTGCTGAAGTTAGTGACACTGAGCATCAGCGCTGTCCGGATGTTACTATTGCAAGTTTCCTAGCTTATCATGAGCATGGGTCACCGTTGTCATTGCGGCTTGTACTTGGGGAGGGCCACGGTGCACTATTGTGGCCTGACATGGCTGCACTGCTGCAGGAAGACCGTGTAACACAGAGCCTGGGGGCCACCTTCTGCCCAGCTGGACTCCCCACTGCTGCACAGCCCAGGACTGTGGGAAATGAGCATGAAGCATTCCTAAAATAATTAGAAGCTTCTGTTTTCTTACATCTGGGCCCATGTGAACCCACAGATATAGCATGGGACACAGAGTATAGGCAGCAGGCCACGGGCCGTGGGGTCTGAGACCACACTGCGGACAAGCAGGTGGACCCCGAGGCCCAGAGTCTCCCCGACCCCAGCACCAGCCTGTTTGCTTTGGAGCCTGGCTCTGCCCTGCAGCAGTGCTCAGCCTGAGGAATTCCAGACTCCCCACCACTTTGGCCTTGTCGTTTCTAAGAAAGAGCTGGCCGCTGCAAGCTTGGACTGGCATCCTTTTCTGAGGATGTAGCTTTTCAACAGGGTCCAGGAGGAATCACTCCCTTGGGCTCTCCGGGGAAAAAAGCTTAATAAAGATGTCTCTCATTCTCTCATCCTCTTTGTCTTGTTACTCTTGTTTCAGATGTAGTTGCCCATTCAAATACTCTATTTCTGTTTCAGGAATATGTGTCTGGGAAGGAAGGCAGTTGACAGTTGTTGGAAATGAAAACCTAGTTTGCTTGAGATATTTCCTGCACGTCCCCTTGGCTGTGTGTTTGCAGCCCTGCTGGGAAAAGGTGGTGGGGGAGAGTTGTTTTGAGCTGGGAACATCAGCCTGGATTCTAAACTTAGGCCAGCCTGGCCCCAATTTTATATCGACTCTGTCCACCCTGTTTGCAGTCCTGATGGGAAAGAAAGTCTGGCTGGTATTCTCTCTTGTCTGAATATGCCTGAGCCGTGTTCCTTTCATCTCCTGAAGTAGTTGGAAGTGATGGTTGCCGTGTCTGGGCTGTTTAATGTCCAGGGCAGTCAGTGTCTCAGGGGTGAGAGGTTTTCTCCCTTACCAGTTACCTTCCAGCCCATAACGTTGGTTTCTGACTCTGATCCCCTTAACTTCTGCAAGATTCATGAAACTCTTTCTTAGCCATCAGATAGTAACCCAGAATTGAATAGTTTGGTGCTAGAGGGAAGGGAAGAGGGAAGGATCAAAGCCCAGGAAAGACTGGGAGCAGAGCACAGAGGCCCAGGGGGAAAAGGCCAAGTGGATGCCTGTAGGGAGAGGAGGAGGCTGTGATCGAGAAGGGCATGCATGAGGGAAGGAAGAGCTGGGAGACTGCCAGGTAATTCTCAGCCTGGATATTGTGAGCCGAGAGAGAGGAGGAGGCTGTAAGACCCAAGAAAGAGACAGCAGAGGGAGGAAAGAGTGGGATGGAGGGTACTGTCAGGAGAGAAGGCCAGGAGCAAACCTAAGTTCTTCCCTGCTCATGGCAGGCTCAGGAATCAGCTAGAGTTAAAGCTTACCCGGGGCTGCCAAGGGCTCAGGTGAATGCAGGGTGGACGCCGTCCTTGAAGTTCTAAGAATTTCAAGGAGATGCAAGGGTGGAGGATGTACCAGGCGGGGTTGAGTGGAGCTGGGAATCCTGTCACCCAGCATAGAGTGGGTGGGGGGCATGGGCTCACAGGTGTTGCCAAGCAGAATGTGGCAGGCTCAGCTCTGCTGAGATGAAGCTGAGAGCCCACGGGTGTGAGTGGTGCCCTGGGAGCAGCGCCCCTGGGGAAGACAGAGAGGAGGGACCTCGGGTCTGAGGAAGCTGGGAAGCAAGGCCGGGAAGGGGTCTGGTGCTGAGACCAGTTGGGGAACAAGTGTGAGACCTTGGAGGTGGCGCATGGTGGCTCAAAAGCTTGTGTGGAGGCAGAGGGGATGAGGGGGAGGGAGAAGGATGGGAGACATTGTCACTGTGGATTCTGATGTTGCAGGAATTGGGGTCAAAGAAGGAAAAAATGAGAGCCGGGGAGTAGTCAACCAGGAGGGCGCTGGCGGGTCTGGGGAGGGTGCGGAGTGTAGAAGCTGGAATAGGACTTTGTGGTGAGGGGTTAGAATGGGTGGGTTTAGGGAATGGCCAGGTGATGACATCAGCAGCCTGGAAGGGCAGCGGCCAGCCACCCTGTCCACGACTGAGCCTCGGCTCTCCTGAGGCTAGGTAAGACTCCCCTTTATGGGACGCAGTGTCAGGGCCCAGAAGAAGCACTTCAGAGCAGCACCTTTGCCTCTGTTTCAGGATCGCTGGTGACACAGCCCTCAACAAAAACATCCACGAGTCCGTCAGCGCCCAGATCCGGAAAAACTTTGCCAAGAGCAAATGGAGAGTAAGTGTGGAGTATATGAAATTCCCCGTGGATTAACCCCCTCGTGACACTGGCCCTCCAATCTGAGCATTTCTGAAATCCCCAGAACCTCACCTGAATAATTTTGCTAATTTTAACTGCAAGTAATAAAGACTCAGAGGGAATATTATGGTGTAAGAGGGATGGAGTGTGCAATTCAACACTTCCCCTCTGTGATCAAAGACAGCAATAGTGCCAGCTCTTCCTCATCTGCTGTTTCTTAACCAACATCACCCTTGTCTTTCTTCACCTTGCTAGAACTTTGAATAGCTGACTTTTATTAAAGCGATATGGAGGGGGAAAAAACAGGAAATCTGAGTTGTACTCATCAATGTTTCCTGATAAAAGTTTGACAGATTTAAACCATGGAGGTTTTGTGATCATCTGTTGATTACCTGACTTCCTAATCTCTTGATTACCTGACCTCCCCTCCGTGTTCCAATCAGCAATGGCAATTCAGAGCTAGCTATTTTGCCATGAGGGCCAATGGTGAAAGATGAGACGGAAACAAAATTAATTTTGCTGGCCTGCTGTATTCATAGGACATGCTATCATTAGGTTGGCGCAAAAGTAGTTGTGGTTTCTTCCATTAAAATTGCCATTACTTTTGCACCAACCTAAATCTTTCAGACAAAAGTACCAATACTAGGAAAATAAAAACTATTTTCAAATCTCACATTTTTAAGGTATTATAATATGCCTTTTATTCTAAAGGCCACATCTCTTAAATTACAGAGAGAATTGGTTTATGTTTATTCTATGTATTTATGATGTCAGAAGAAAACTATTTTAAGTCTCTAAAATATTTAGTTGGGGAAAGGGGTTAATAAATCAGTGCACTTTTAGAAGAAGGGACAACATAAGCTTTCCTTCTTGAGTAGCATGAGAATGATGTAAGGAGTTTGAAATGCTTAGGCTAATGTGATAAACAAGAGAACACAGTTAGAGTCTTTTCCGATTAGCTGAAATATTTGTCTGCTTTTTTCCTTTCTGAAATTTCAGCAAGCATTTAATGCCACGGCCGTCGTCAGACATATGAGAAAACTACACCTCGGCAGCAGCCTGGACAGTTCAAATGCAAGTGTTTCGAGCAGCCTCAGTTTGGCCAGCCAAAAAGACTGTGCGTATGTAGCAAAACCAGAATCCCTCAGCTGACACTGAAGACGAGCCTGGGGTGGAGAGGAGGGAGCCGGCATCTGCCGAGCACCTCCTGTTTGCCAGGCGCTTTCTATACTTAATCCCATGTCATGCGACCCTAGGACTTTTTTTAACATGTAATCACTGGGCTGGGTGCAGTGGCTCACGCCTGTAATCCCAACACTTTGGGAGGCTGAGGCAGGAGGACTGTTTGAGTTCAGGAGTTTTAAGACCAGCCTGACCAACATGGTGAAACCCCATCTCTACTAAAATATAAAAATTAGCCGGGTGTGGTGGCGAGCACCTGTAATGTCAGCTACTTGGGAGGCTGAGGCAGGAGAATCACTTGAACCCAGGAAGCGGAGGTTGCAATGAGCTGAGATCACACCACTGCACTCCAGCCTGGGTGACAGATTGAGACTCCCTCTCAAAAAAAAAAAAGAAAAATCATTGAACACTCGTGGAACCCTAGGTATTGCTATTTCCATTTACAGTTGAGGAATCCAGGGCTCAAGTCCTCGCAGCCATGTCTGTCTGGATAAAGGCCTGGACTCTTTCTCATCTCCATCCTTCCCTCTGATTTACCTCTCATTGTACAGTCACTCTTGCGGATTGAGGAAGGGAGAGCAGAGCCTCAGGACAGCCTCCTGCCATTGACTTCCATAATGTATATATTTTGGATGCAGACAATGATAATTTGAGCTCATTTATGTGAAGTGCATTGACTTTGCAATAAAAGTAATAGTATTTCATTGTCCTTCGTCTTTGCATGGGCTATTCCATCATCGAAGGCACACTTACTCTCTCCTTATCTCTCTCCCCAACTGCTCCTCTCTCTGTGGAAATAATCCCGTTTGGCCCTTCCCATGGGTCCTCTCCACATCAGAGCAGTGGCCCTAATCTCCCTAACCATGGAGCAGCCCTGCAGCCTGGTCTCACCCTGGGCATCATGCTCCTTCCCATTTGGCTCAGAAAAGGATTCCCTTCCTCTCTAAGGAATCTTCCCATCTCATTTGGGACCATCCAGCCCTTAAATTTTCCCAAGAAATCTCTGTGAGTGTCCCCTGACATACCATAGCTCCCCTTTCACCCTGAATCTTTTCCACCCTCTGGTCAAAGGGAACCCCACGATGGATCCCTTCTTTACAGATTCATACACTGGCATCGGCAGCAAAGCCCGTCGGGAGCACTCCTTGTATGGCTGTTTGTCCCCATGTCTGAGCACACAGACTCCCTGGGGGCCTGCACCAACAAGCTCAGTGGCGGCTGAGGCCTCTCATATCAAGGCTTTTGATGCCTGCACATCCTCTGGGGGAGGGCTTCAGCGCAGCCTCTGAGGAGCTCCACTAGGCCAGGGACTGCTGAGCTCACACAGGAATAGGTGAACATCTCTATTCTTGCTCTTTTTTCTTTTCTTTTTGCTTTCCTTTCTTTTTCTTTCCCTCCTTTATTTCCCTCCTTCCCTCTCTCTTCTCTCTTTTCTTTTCCCTCCCTGCCTCCCTCCTTCCTTTCCTTCCTTCTTTCCTTCCCTCCCTCCCTTCTTTCTTTCTTTTTCTTTCCTTCTCTTTCTTTTCTTTTTCTTTCTTTCTTTCTCTCTCTTTTTCTTTTCTTTCTTTCTCTCTCTTCTCTTCCTTCCTTCCTTCTTCCTTTCTTTCTTTCTCTTTCTTTCTTTTTCTTTCCCTTCCTTCCTTCCTTTCTTCTTTCTCTCTTTCTTTCCTTCCTTCCTTCCTTCTTTCTTTCTTTCTTTTCTTTCTTTGTCTGTCTGTCTTTCTTTCTTTCTTTCTTTCTTTCTTTCTTTCTTTCTTTCTTTCTTTCTTTCTTTCTTTCTTTCTTTTCTTGTCTTTCTTCTCCTCTCCTCCACTAACCTGCCCTGCCCTGCCCTGCCTTGCCCTGCCTTCCCCTCCCCTCCTCTCTCCTCTCTCCTCTCTCCCCTCTCCCCTCTCCTCTCTCCTCTCTCCCTTCTCCCCTCTCCTTTCTCCTCTCTCCTCTCTCTTCTTCTCTCTTTCTCTCACTCTCTGTCACCCAGACTGGAGTGCAGTGGCACAGTCACGGCTCACTGCAACCTCAACCTCCTAGGCTCAAGTAATCCTCCTGTCTCAGCCTTCTGAGTAGCTGGGACAACAGGCATGTACCACCGTGCGCAGCTAATTTTTGTATTTTTTGTAGACCCAGGGTTGCCCCAGCTGGTCTGGAACTCCTGAGACTCAAGCGATCCACCCACCTTGGCCTCCCAAAGTGTTGAGATTACAGGCGTCAGCCACCATACCCTTATTTCAAAGTGCTCTGCGTCACAAAATGCTTTCTAGCCAAGAGTGTACACAACACACCAACCAAGGGTAGGAAGGTAGTATCATTCTTTATTCCTTCTTAAAATACCTGCTTTACAGAGCTATTATAAGAAGTGGACAATTCGTATGATGACAGTATGTAGTCAACACTAGCCTGGTGCCTGCTACATATTAAGTGCTCAGTACATGGAACCTGTTGTACCACAGTGGTGAAACCATGTTGTTTTCAAACACAAAGCAGTTAAAATTACACCAAAAAAAAGGAGAGGAGAGGTCTAAGAATAAAGCATTTTGAACCCATTGCAAAGGCTTTCCCACAGGTAGGTAAAAATAGTCACACGGGTAAAAATTTGGGTCCCCGCAAGTTGGGCGCGGTGGCTCACACCCGTAATCCCAGCACTTTGGGAGGCTGAGGTGGGTGGATCACCTGAGGTCAGGAGTTCGAGACCAGCCTGGCCAACATGGTGAAACCCCATCTCTACTAAAAATACAAAAATTAGCCCGGCGTGGTGGTGAGCCCCTGTAATCCCAGCTACTCGGGAGGCTGAAGCACGAGAATCGCTTGAACCTGGCAGGCAGAGGTTGCAGTGACCCGAGATCGTGCCACTGCACTCCAGCCTGGTGAAAAGAGTGAAACTCCATCTCAAGAAAAAAAAAAAATTGGGCCCCCCCGCCCCCCACCATAAACCCAGCCCCTCTGACACCTGGCAGTGGGAAGCAGGGTGAGAATTTACCTCTGAAACTCTGAAGCCCACTTCTGCTGTTCCCTGCAGGTCTGGCACCTTCCACGCTCTGTAGTTTCATTTCTTCTTCGTCGGGGGTCTCAGGAGTTGGAGCCGAGCGGAGACCCAGGCCCACCACTGTGACGGCAGTGCACTCTGGAAGCAAGTGACTGGCCCTGGAGGTGGGGCCCGGGGTCGGGGCTGGGGAAGGGGAGCCCCAGGGTCGCCAGAGCCGCGAGCCACTCCAGCGAGACCCCACCTTGCATGGTGCCCCTTCCTGCATAGGACTGGAAGACCGAAGTTTTTTTATGGCCATATTTTCTACTGCAATTCTGAAGTGTTCATTTCTCACAAACTGTACTGACTCGAGGGGCGCTGATTTCATAGGATCTGGTGCTGTATATACGAATCTTGCAAAGCTCTAACTGAACGGACCTTCTTATTCCTCTCCCCTAACACCATCGTTTCCACTCTTCTCAGTGTAGGTAACCGTCTATGGTGTGTTTTTTCATTAATGACAAAAAAAAAAAGGTTTCAACTGGATTATTTAAATATTGGTAAATATTGTGCATTAGGGTTTGTTTTTCCTTTTAAGAAGTATGTCCTTTGTATCTCTAAGTTACATGACCTATATCTTTTCCTCTTTAATAGTAGTTTTATGTTAACCTTTAAGAGATTTGTTTTTCCTCAAAGGAGAATTTAAAGGTATTTTTTAAAATTCTAATAAGAGGATCAGCCGGGTGCAATGACTCATGCCTGTAATCCCAGCACGTTGGGAGGCCAAGTCGGGCGGATCACAAGGTCAGGAGATCAAGGCCATCCTGGCCAACATGGTGAAACCCCACGTCTACTAAAAATACAAAAAATTAGCCGGGCGTGGTGGCACACACCTGTAGTCCCGGCTACTCGGGAGGCTGAGGCAGGAGAATTGCTTGAACCCGGGAGACGGAGGTTGCAGTGAGCTGAGATCGTGCCACTGCACTCCAGCCTGGGTGACAGAGCAAGACTCTGTCTCAAAAAAAAAAAAAAAAATTCTAACAAGAGGATCATGAATCTGTCTCCAAGGCTAAGAGTGCCCTTCACCTCTACTCCTTCTGTTTCTCTCCCCTTCCCCAGGAGGAGGGGCCCCTCAGTTCTGCGAGGCTCTCTTCTCTGCGGGGGACTTTGGTAGAGAATCTGCACAGAGCCTTTGCTGGCAACCCATCCAGCAGAACCCACACCCACCAGAGACCCTAGAGGCCTCTTGCCATCAGCAACCAGAAATAAGCCTGCTCCCCCGAGACGCAGGGCTCAGCTTCACAGGCCAGACTTGCTGTGAGTGAGATGCCCACACTGCAGAGATGCAGGACCCTCCCTTGCAAAAGGAACCAGCTGCCATGTTGCTGAAAGTGGGCCCACACACAACCCTCATTTCTCACGAGAGCTAACAGATGAAAGCTCAGCTATGCAGTGTTAAAATTCATCTCTTTCTCTGTGGTTTTTAAAAAAATGCATTTCTAATCTTACACTTCACGTGGCCTCCAACACAAAGTTCTTTCTCCACATTTTTACCCTCTTCTCACATGAATGTTTTCCAAGGGAAGGAAGGGAGGGAAGCAGCCTTGGGAAAGGATCCATTTCTGGTGGTAAGGAGAGGGGGCCCTGCCAGGCTAATGGGACTTCAGCCACCACAGAGATGACCAAAGACCACCTCCGCCAGGCCCAGCCAGTGCTTGCAGCCCTCCCATTGGTCAGGGGAGTCTAAAATCAAAGATACATGGTGGTAGGGTCACCAAACGTCCCATTTGCCCGAGACTGAAGGATTTCTCAGGCTGTGGACATTTAATGCCAAAACCAGGAATATCCGGGGCAAAGCAGGCTGTGTTGTTCGCCTTTGTGGAGCCAGGCAGTGTGTGGCCCAGGGAAAGCTGCGTTTCATGGAGGCTTCCAGGAGGCTGCCCTGTAAAGCCAGGCAGGTGGCTTCAAGTGCCATTCCTGCAAGTGCCCCTGCTTCAGCTCTCAGGCCCATCCAATGCCTCGAGCCCACGGGGGTGTCCCGGCAGGTCTGCGTCATCACGACCCAGTAACGCTGCTGGCTGTGTCCTCATGCCCTCTTCCTCTGGCTGGCCAGTCATGGGAAGTCCTGTTGGTTGAGTCATCTTTGTCACTTCTACACCTTTGAGTATGTACAGGCTGAATGTTGAGTGATGCCCCCCCACCCTCTCAATAAACACACACACACACACACACACACACACACACACACACAATGTTATTAGGCACAGCAGCTCCATCCTGCTCCCTGAGAATGGCAGTGCAGGCACAGAGAAGAGCAGTTGGGAAGACAGGCAGCTGGTCTACCCTGTCCCCGCACACTTCACAGGCACTCCACTGCTTGGCAGGAATTCTGCATGGCATCTGCCACGCATGCTCACAGGGTGAAAAATCAAGCTGTCACTCTGCAAAATCTAAAAACCCTGGAAAGGTCTATAAGATGACATTAGACCCAGTTAAGAAGCAAGTGTCACCTGAGTTGGCCATGCAATGAATGAATATTATAAGCAGTATTGGAGAACTAGGCGGTTGCTTACTAAGAAGTGTCTTGGAAACATTCGAGTTCATACAGTGCATGACAAAGTAATAGAAGGCTGCAAGCGCTGAAAATGCACCCGAATCTGGTACCTAGGATGAGTACATGAATAGTGATGAATAGCCCTTTGTGCTGTGTGCTATATACAACCATTTGCATTCAGAAAGCAGCATTTGAAGCTGAGTTCCATTACTGGTGATTGAAGTATTTTCAGGAGCAGATACATGTGGTGCATGTTATATGCACTTAGTTTGAAAGTATCCCTCACCCAAAAAGTGCAGAACCTCTGAAAGGTGAGCCGTGGTGCAGGTGCCCCCCTCGCTGTTCGGGTCAGTTCTTGGCCATGCTTGGCCTGTCACACGCCGGGTCTCAACAACATCGTGCGAGGAGACAGTGACTGGTTTCAGCCCAAGAGTCAACTGTTGAGCATGACATCAGGAAGCCTGTACTGTCCTGATCCCACCAGGCTTGGGTTAATTTCCTATTGCTTCAGAGAAAGAGAGGCGCTCTTGTGCTTTTGAGAGAGCTCTCATGTTAAAAAGAGGTTGTCTTTGCACTGCGCTTGGTATGATTTGTTTTCTTATAAAACAGGAAGAGAACCTAGAATGTGCCTTTCGTGAAGGTCTGACAAATGGGGTCTCAGAGTCCTAGGACCCGCACCAAGGTCAGAGTCCACCTGTAGAGGCTGAGCATTTCTACATGCACCCAGGGTGCTGGGCTGAGGCTAAGGGTGGACGCGTAGACCCCATCACAGGCTTCCTTCCTGAGCCCAAGTCCCCCATTTGGTCACTATCCCTTCTCAGAGCAAGTGGATTCTCTTTTCCTCACTTGGAGTATTCAATGTTGAAGTAGTGGCCTGGAGTGGCCTTTCCCTCAGCTGCCTGTCTGGGCTCCCTGGCTTCCCGGATCTTCATCTCATACGTGAGGCAATAGGAGGAGTTTCTATTCATTGAGACAAACAGTGAGCGGGCACCAACAGGCCAGCAGCTTGGCCCTTTTCACAGAGGTGGCCTTGGAGTCTGGAGTCTGGGCAGCTGTCTGCCTCTCTACGGCTCTGCTTCCCAGCGGGCACACGGGTCCGGAGCCTCAGAATGAAGTGGTGCAGAGGCGCAGGGCACACCTAGGAGAAGCTCAATGACCACCAAAGCCCTTGAGGAGAGACGGGGTTTGCTGTGTTAGAGAAATGGCAACCCCCAGGACCATGCACGGCTCTGGCAGTGCACAGTGGCTGATTTTCACCAGTTCCTCCTACCCCTGCCTCTGTCGGAGACTAGAAAACATTCTACCCCTTCAGGTCTTCTTTTAAAAGAAAAGAGCTATGGCAAAGCGTGCCATACAAAGTTAAAAAAAGGAAGAGTGGCTTTGCGTTCTTGACCATGGCCACAATTCTGGTCACTTCTAGCATCTGACCTTGAGAACGGTGTAGAGTCTCTGAGCCACCGCTGGCCTTTGAGAGAGTCTCACTCTCCAGCTAGCTCTTTGTGTAGTGTCCAGGGCCCCGGCAGTCAGGATAGAGCGAGCAAAAGAAGATGGACAGTGGACAGGGCGCAGTGGCTCACGCCTGTAATCCCAGCGCTTTGGGAGAGCGAGGCGGGCAGATCACAAGGTCAAGAGATCAAGACCATTCTGGCCAACATGGTGAAACCCTGTTTCTACTAAAAATACAAAAATTAGCTGGGCATGGTGGTGCGTGCCTGTAATCCCAGCTACTCGGGAGGCTGAGGCAGGAGAATCGCTTGAACCCGGGAGGCAGAGGTTGCAGTGAGCCGAGATCGTGCCACTGCACTCCAGCCTGGGTGACAGAGCAAGACTCCGTCTCAAAAAAGATGGCCATGCTGGCCAAGGCTGGGCTCATAGGAAATATCTGTAGTAGGATGAAAGGAATCTGGCCTAGGGAGCCCCGGACTCGGTTTACCTACCCCGTACTCATCCCACTCATCTGTCTACCCTAGTGTCCATCATGCCCTGGATGAATCGTAGGTGGGAGGGACAGAAGCCGAGAACACCAGGCACACGGGGTGGGGGGAATGGGGGGAGCCCAGGTGATCCCCTTTGGAAAGTGGATTGATCCTCTCCCCTGTGGAATGACAGCTTAACCTGATTAACCCACTGGGGCTTGCTATTTTATGAGCATTTTTAAACAGAAAGGAAAGATGATATCCCAGTGCAGGTAGACTTTATTTTTGAAAGCATCGTGGCCCCTCACCTCTCCCTCTCCCCCAGAACCTTGGCCAGAATTGAGTCTTCGCGTTGGGGAGGCCACGCTGGAACCATTGCTCTAGGGCTGAAGGTGGAAGTAGGGCCACTGCCGCAGCTTCAGCCAGAGCCCTCGCTGCTTCGCAGAATTTAACAAGCACACGACTGGGATTCCTTTGGATATGAGAAAGGAAGGCAAGTGCGGGCAAAGGGAAGCTCCTCCCGTTTTTCATAAACAGAAGTAAGATGTCCTCTTTCCCAGGTTTGCACAATCACTTCTGGCAAATTAATTGAAGGTCCTTGAATTCAGCCAGTGCACGAAACCTTTGCATGTTCTTCTGAAACTGTACTTCTTCCCTATTCTGTCTACCCACACTCTGCGAACTTTGCCTTTTCCTTAAACACATTCCAGACCAAACACTGTTCAGTTTGTTAAAAAAAAAAAAAAAAAAAAAAGATGTATATACCTGTATGTGATCCACCACCCTTTTGAGGGGCACCTGGTCCTCGGTTGGGGCTGCAGGTGTGCCTGACATTTGCAAAAGATATTCCAGTCTTTCGATGTTCAGAATTGAAAATGTGGAGATAGAAAAGCTCAAACAGACTCCTAAAAGGAGGGTTTCTTTCCTGAAGACTCCAAGAAAATGAGTGTGCAGATGAGTTAGCTTGACAACCTCAACTCTGGGGAGCAGGCAGGCGGTCTGAGGAAGATAAGGGCCCACGCCCCACTCACCTGGCACCTGTTCGGTGGTCCCGGGGCATCATGGTCTGCAGCTCTGGGCCCCCAGCCCCACTGTGAAGTCAGTCCTGCATGCTGGCCGAGGCCCGGCCACCTCCCGATGCCTCCAGAGTCAGTGGGAAGGAGTCAGCCCTTCCCAGACTTCCCCGCCACCTCCAGCAGGAGCAGCTCAGTTTGTGGCTCTGGGAGCTCCGCTTTTGCAAACCCAAAAAGGCTGTGCATTTGGAAGCCAAACGCTCAGCATGCGGCTGCCGAGTCTGGTTTTGTGGACAAAGCAAACTGTGGAATGGCTTCTCGGTGTCTGTATAAAGGGACAAACGGTTGCATTCACCCTTTGTACTATAACACCGCTTCTGCATTCGCCATATCCGTTTTTTAACCTTTTTGTCTCCGGGGAACTTCTCATTCGATTATTATGTCTTCTGATGATTTGCCATGTTATTTTAAAGGTGATTTTATTTTCTTATGGACAGGAAAAAAGAAAATGAGGAGGAGTTGGTTTTACTCTTAGAGATAAGACTTCAGCAGGGGCTCAGAAACCCCAAACTCTAGTTAAATTGCTTCTCGGAGGAAAATCTTAATCTAGACAGATTCAGATTCCCAGGCTCTCCTGGAAGCCCTGCACTTCAGGGCACAGGGGCCCTGGGACGTGGTTGGCAGCCAGGCTGCGAGAGAGCTAAAAAGGAACAAGAACATCAGCTCGGATGTTTGTCTCTCAGCCCTGACACCTGCCACTCTCCTTCCCGGGGCACTTGGCCCTATCAGAGGGACATGAAATGCTGTCCGAATGGTGGCAGAAATGCAGCGACATTGCATGCAGCAGAGTCTTTGCTTCGAAAGATGGGGCGCCATGTTTCAGAGAACATTTATCTTAGTCCCACGTTCAGGTGAGAAGACCTCAAAGGTACCCTCTGTCCAGAATAAACATTGGAACAATCTCTCAATTGGCTTTTGTCACTACACATAATGTAATCTCCCTTCTTTCAGCTCCCCCAACAGTGAGCATGCTTCCCAAAAAATTACAACATCAAAACCAGGAATGTCCCCGCATCTACTATTACCAGGCTTGCAATTGGTTCAATTTTCCCATAAAAACATGTTTGTCCAAAAGAAGGGAAACTGTGAATTTATTCCATGCATGTAATAAACTCTGCAAGAAGTTTAACCCACATAGGTTTGCGGCACTGCAAAATTGTTCATGGGTCTATGTAGCAAATGATTCTCTGCCTTGACAATCATGTATACATATCAAGATTTCTATCATAATGATAATGAGATTGATGACTTCCTGTTTTCCTCCAATAAAGACAATTAATCACCTTCAGATGCTCATTTCCTCTGTCATGAGAAGGATGTGGAGTTTCAGTGTCTCTATCTTTCCTCTGCTTCCTGAAGTTTGGATTTGAAGGAAGGAGTTTGAATTGAGACCCCCCAAACTCATGGAGTCCCCCTTAAATATTTCAGGTCACCTCCCCAGTGAGCAGGGAGTGGCAGGGATGGGTGAAGGGATGGTACATCGTGCCTTTGGGGTTGGGGACAGGTGCCCAGGTTCCATGATCACTGGACAGGAAAGCTCCCCCTTTTCCCTGCTGCTGCAGAGGGGGACTGGAGGTGAGCCTGGGAACTCAAATCGCACTAACTCAATATTCCTAAGTCATGTGGAGGAAAAGCCAATGCTGATCCCCAGGAAGCGCCTCTGAGTCATGGGTGGCTTGGCAGCCTCAGGCTTCAGCAATACACACCCACGTTCTTCCATTTCCTCGGCATAGCAGTGCCCAAAGGAAGATTCTTTTCCAGGCAGAAGGCTGGCTGCTGTCTTTTGTGGGGGTTTGGGGGAGATGCAGGAGGAGGAACTACAGTTCATAGCTCATCAAATGTATTGTGGGGCTCGGGTCTGATGGCCAGACAATTCTTCCAATCCAAATAGGGATTGTGTAGGGAGAAAAAAATGAATTGGACATGTGTTATAGAAATGTAGAATTAAAACTGTCCCACACAGCCAGCATCAGATGAAAACAGCATGGGTGGGCCTTACTGAAAAAAGGCTATGAGCCCAAAAGAAAGGCAGTGCCCACTGTCTGATGTCTAGTTCTTTTGTGGTTGATTCTTGCTTCTGTAGCCCAGACCCTAATGATGAGTTGCATCAATACAAAGCTATCATTCAGTGGGTGAATATGTGATGTCGTTATTGCAGGTTTTATGGAACATAACATTTTGATGGCAAAAAAGGAGATACAAATCGTGTGCACCCAAATCCCCCTGACTCTCTCTGCCCCCAAGGAGAGTGACTATGCCATCAAAATCCTGTTTCATAGGCCAGGCACAGTGGCTCATGCCTGTAGTCCAGCCCTTGGGGAGGCCAAGGCGGGCGGATCACAAGGTTAGGAGTTCGAGACTAACCTGGCCAACATGATGAAACCCCATCTGTACTAAAACTACAAAAATTAGCTGGGCATGGTGGTGGGCGCCTGTAATCCCAGCTACTCAGGAGGCTGAGGCAGGAGAATTGCTTGAACCCAGGAGTTGGAGGTTGCAGTGAGCCGAGATCGCACCACTGCACTCCAGCCTGGGTGACAGAGTAAGGCTCTTTCAAAAATAATAATAATAATAATAATTCTGTTTCATAGAGAAAGATTCTGATAACAGATTTCCGTAAGTTCATCTGCATGTTGAGTAATTTGGCTGGGCTGGATGTGGTCTTAGGCATATGTATACACTTGGCTTGGACCAGTGCTCTTTAGCTCAAGAAAGACTGAGCAAGAGGTACTGTGCCCAGCCTCATATTTTACATACTACTTGGTTGCAACACCTGTGCTGAGCCCCCAGAATGTGTAATTCCCAAAAGAGCACCCCAATTTCACATTCTCTTCCTAACATAGAGAGTATGTATGTGTGTATGTACCATGTAAGGGGCTTCAAGCTGAGGGAAGTGGTGAGGTGTGATTTCCAGTCCATATCCTGCATGCCAAGCCATGCACCCTGGCTCAGGGGAAAAGATGTTTTTTTTTTTTTTCCCCATCCAGTTCATACAAAGGCACTGTATGGGGGCCTGCTGGCTTGGTGGGCCCAGCGGACCGTGAGCATTAGGCTGTGAGCTGTGGGCCAACTGCAACTTTTTATCAGGTTTTCAAAGCTGGAGAAAACTTCAGCTAAGAGCTCAGAATCGAGCAGGCTCTGAGGGAGTTCATCTGGCCTCTTGTGTAGGGATGTCCGAGTTGAAGAGTATATTAACCTTCAGGAAACTATCACTAAGGGGCTGGTGCATATAGAAGCACTTTACAGAGTTCATTAGACATCACACTGTAGAAAATGGGTTGGCCTCCCCATCTCACTTCACCAAGAAACCCAGGAAGTCTTGCCTTTCATTCAGGACGATTGGCAGCAATGACATGAGACCTTAGCGCCCTCGGAACCCACAGATCCTCCCTGATCTATTCCCCCTACAGGCTCCCATCAGTGCCCTTCCACCAAACACAGTCATAAGCTTTCATTCATTGATTCATTCCCTCCTTCATTCACTCAACATTTGTGAACACCCCTTATATCCAAGGGTTTTCGTTCATGCTGAAAAACACCAAAGTCAATCTGACATGAATCCTACCCACGAACACTGCATAAAACAGGAAGCACTCGAGTAAGCCTGGGAGGAAGGGGAGAGTTTAGACAGGAAGGATTGAATAGGTGCAATGTGAGGGAGAGCTTGGAGGCTGGGAATGCAGCATTCGGTGGGCTAGTCCATAGTTCATCGGGCCAGAGCAGAGGGTGTGAGCAAACCCGGGAGGAGAGAGAAAGGTGGGCTGGAGGGGCACGGGAGTCATTGTCATCAACAATAACTTCTGGAGCTAACACCATCACGTATTGACCATTTACTGTGTCCTGGACACTGTGCCATGTACATTCCATTCAATGTCTCATTTCACCAGCAGCCCTTAATAGGGAAGGCGCCCTGATTATCCAAGTGGCTTCAGAAAGATTTGATATTTACCCAGCTGTAGCTGTGAGTAGAGTTGCAAATTCCTCCCTGATTGATTGACATCAAAGGCCATTCTGCTGTCTTGTGTCTCGTGGCTTTGTGCAGGTCACTGAATTCCAAACTATGAAATTTGGACTTTTTATTAAGTGACTGGGAGCCATTGAAGGTTATTGAGCTGAGGAGTGACATGATCACATCAGTTAACGTTTGGAACAGCACCATTATTAGGGACCGTTGTATTACCTTCAAGAGAAATTTATCTGCAGTAATAGCTCAGTCTGGTCTTACATGAAGCCCAGTAACCCAGGGTCTGCCGAGAACATACTCATTACCGAGGAACCGGCCCATTTATTTTCTGACGTCTGGTTCCATTTCTCAGGAGAAATATCACAGAAGCTGGATTTGACTTAGAGTCAGAGATGCAGACCATAATGACAACACTGCTGGGTTTTGGCTTTTTTATTTTATTTATTTATTTATTTATTTATTTGAGACGGAGTCTCACTCTGTCGCCAGGCTGGAGTGCAGTGGCACAATCTTGGCTTACTGCAACCTCCGCCTCCCAGGTTAAAGCAATTCTCCTGCCTCAGCCTCCTGAGTAGCTGGGACTACAGGCACGTGCCACCACTCCCAGCTAATTTTGTTGTATTTTTAGTAGGGACAGGGTTTCACCATGTTGGCCAGGATGGTCTGGATCTCTTGACTTCATGATCTGGCCACCTCGGCCTCCCCAAGTGCTGGGATTGCAAGCGTGAGCAAAGTGCTGGGATTACAGGCATGAGCCACTGCCCCTGGCCTGGCTTTTTGATTTTTAAAGTTAGGCCAGCCCCTCATCCTGATGAATAACTCCAGGAAGTCCAGTGCGTGCACACGGAGGTTCATCACAGACTCGCAGCCTGCCTGGCATCTGCTTTTCTCCTCCAGATTACCCTCAGAGCTACTGATTTATTTTTAAGAAAGTGTCTCAGATCTCTTGTGTTCTTCCAGCCTCCCCTGAGAGGAACTTTATTTAGCATGAACTCATCCGCCTGACTCTCTAGAAAGGCTTCGTGGGCCAGGAAAAGGCAGTTGTTGGTCCACCAGTGAACCCCTTTTCTTTTGTCCGCCTGTGGGTTCCCTCTCTCTAACACTTCTTTATCTTCAACATTATGTCTTCTTTCTTGAGCACATCAGATCTAAATCTTTCTAGTGGGGGCTCGCTGGGTCAGGTGGTTTATATCAGCAAGTGGAGAAAAGCTCACGAGATACTGAGCTGCCAATACCTCAACCGTAACCCGACCTGGCTCTCATCACGCATAAGAGTGCAGTGACCGGCTGGGTGCAGTGGCTCACGCCTGTAATCCCAGCTCTTTGGGAGGCTGAGGCGGGCGGATCAGGAGTTCAAGGTCAGGAGTTGAAGGCCAGCCTGGCCAACATGGCGAAACCCCATCTCTACTAAAAACACACAAATTATCCAGGCGTGATGGTGTGCGCCTATAATCCCAGCTACTTGGGAGGCTGAGACAGGAGAATCGCTTGAACTTGGGAGGCGGAGGTTGCAGCGAGCGGATATCTTGCCACTGCACTCCAGCCTGGGCAACATAGCAAGACTCTGTCTCGGGAGGGGGGTAAAAAGAGTGCAGTGACCGACTCCTCTAATGAGGGCCAGCTGGTTCCCAGCGCGGACATGGGAAGACAGCTGACTTTTGCACTCACCTAGCCCAAGGGGCTTGTCACCTGGCGCCCCCAGGAAGAAGACAGTGCTTACTCCGGAGCTGATAAAGGCATTAAATAACCCTGCAGGTGGGAAGGACTTCACATCCCTCCAGCTCCCCCTGGGCAGAGCCCCACTTCCTCAGCTGTGCTCCCAGCAGGAGCCCTCCAAGCTGCCCCTGCTTCAAGAGCTGCAGCCCAGGGCTTCTCACACTTCGGTCCCTCAGGGATCTTGCTAGACTGCAGATTTTGATTCAGCAGCTCTGGCCTGGGACCAGAGTATTTCTAAGCAGCTCTCAGGGGGTGCCACAGCTGCTGATCCCTGCACCACAGTTTGAGTAGTGAGGGACTCTTTCTGTGGTTCCCATTCCTGACTGCATATTCCACTCATCTTGGGAGCATTTGACAAATGCTGAGGCCTCGATCAATTGAATAAGGATCTCTGTTATCACATAGCCTTGAGCCGAGAGACAGAGCAGCTGCCTGGAAACCCCGTAACTTCCAGCTAAACAAATCTGAACTGCAACTGTAAGTGATAACCAGCCTTCCTCTACGACAGTCCAGAATTAATTCCAGGCCTCCCAGGCTTTGTTTCAGCCAGAATATGGAACATCCTCTTGTCTGAACTAATCTTCTGCCCTTCCCAGCCTTCCGGAGCCCTCCCACTGTGCCTGCCTTCCGGAACTCATCGACTCCTCAGCAAAGCCCCCTAAAGTCTATGTAGATGGAAAAGGACAGAGAGAAATGCCCCCCAAAAGCAGGGAAAGACCCACAGACCTGGCTACTGATGGGGATCATCATAGACAAGCCTGCCCCTGGCCCATAATGTATGTCAATTACCACATGTTAGAAACACTGCTCACAGGTGCATTCTAGAAGATGGATTGATTGATTGGTTGATTGATTAACAGACAGCACCATGTGCCAGCCACTGTTTTAAACACTCTTGTGATATTAACTCCTTCAATCTTTGTAACAACTCCATCAGATAAGTACAATTAGGCTGGGCGCGGTGGCTCATGCCTGTCATCCCAGCACTTTCGGAGGCCGAGGTGGGAAGATTGCTTGAGCCCGGGAGTTCAAGACCAGCCTGGGCAACATGGCAAAACCCTGTCTCTACAATAATAATAATAATAATAATAATAATAATAATAATACAAAAAATTCACCAGGTGTGTTGACGTACCCCTGTAGTACCAGCTGCTCAGGAGGTTGAGATGGGAGGATAGCTTGAGTCTGGGAGGTGGAGGTGTCAGTGAGCCAAGATCGTACAACTGCACTCCAGCCTGGGCGACAGAGCAAGACTCTGTCTTTAAAAAAAAAAAAAAGAAAAAAGAAAAAATATGTGATTATATCCCAGTTTTATAGATGAAGAAACTGAGGAACACAGAGGTGAAATGGCTTGTTCCAGGCACCACCACTAAGTGGCTGTTGTGGGTTAAATCGTGTCCTCTGCCACCCTGAAAGTCACATATTGGCGCACTAACCCCAATACCTCAAAATGTGACCTTATTTGGAAAGAGGGTCTTTCGGGTGGGCTTTAATCCAGTATGAATGGTATCCTTATAAAAAATGGGGATGGGGTGGGGAATTTGACCCTGAGACAGAAAACCACCAGGGGCTGGGGACAGGCCTGGACAGGGGCTCCCACAGACATCAGAAAAAGCCACCCTCACCAACACTGGCTCGGACTTCGGCGCTCCACACCTTGAGGCAATGCATTCTGGGGGGTTGTCAGACCCACCTTGTCTGTGGCATCTCATTAGGACAGGCCCTGGCAAACTAACGCAGTAGCAGAGCCAGGACTCAGACCCCGGCCGCCTCAGGCCAGAGCAGGCGCCCTCGCCACGCCATGGCAGCAGGCAGTAGCTTTGGGTCCTGCTCACAGGGACCCACTCCATCCTTCTTTCCCTCCCCTCGCTCTTTCTTCACTTCATTTTCTCCAATTTCACCATTTCTCCGTTTCCTCATTTCTTTCCATCACGTTAATTATCTATTGGATGTGTAACAAAATATTTACAACTAAACGACTTCAAGCTACAAACACGATCTCGCAGCTTCTATGGGTCAAAAATCGGTGCACTTGGCTGGGTGCCTCTGGCTCCGGGACGCTCCGAGGTTAAGGTCAAGCTGCTGTCACTGGGGTTGCCACATCCCAGGACTTGGCCAGGACTGAAGGCTCTGCTTGCAAGCTCACTCTATGTCTGGGGACAGCTTTAGGTCCTCTTGACTGTGGGATCAAGGGCCTTGGTCTTTCGTTCTCACGACTGTGCGGGCCTCTTCATAGGGCTGGTCCCTACAAGGCAGCCTGCCTTCCCCAGCCCGAGTGATGCAAAAGGAAGGGGGTGGGTGGGGGGTGGGGGGAGGGAGAGAGAGAGAACAGGTACCCAGGATGCCAGCCAGTCTTTTTAAAACCTAATCTTGGAAATGATACCCCATTGCTTCTGCCGTACTCTTTGTTAGAACAAAGTCATTATGTTCAGCCCACACTCAAGGGAAGGAGTAACCCAGGGCCGAAATACCAGGAACATGGGGCCCAGCAGGGGCCTCTAAAAGGCTGCCAACCACACCGTCCTCCCTGTGTCTACGTGCTTGTGGCTGACCCTTGCTGATGGCAGGGGTAGGGGAGCCTGGGCTGTGGATCTGTGGTCTGTGTGTGCATGGTGAGGCCCAAACCACCCTGTGATAAACCAACGTGATGCCAGAGAGAGCCAAGCCGCTCTCAAAGCTACATCTATCTCATGCCTTTAAAGTCTTTATTGCTATAAGAATACAGCACAAACACCAAAGCATTAGCAAACTTCCCTGAGGACACTTCAAAAGTCAAGAAACATTTCCTATGAATCCTGAGAAGGAGCTTTTAACTCATCAGAGAAAAAATAAGCTTCGGCCAAAGGCCTCCAATCCACAGGCACATCCCACCCACCAAAGGGTGTCAACACATGCTTATTTATTTATTTTGAGATGGAGTCTCACTCTGTCTCCCAGAGTGGAGTGCAGTGGCGTGATCTCAGCTCACTGCAACCTCTGTCTCCCGGTTCCAGCAGTTCTCATGCTTCAGCCTCCTGAGTAGCTGGGACTACAGGTGCGCACCACCACACCTGGCTAATTATTTTTGTATTTTTAGTAGAGACAGGGTTTCATCTTGTTGGTCAGGCTGGTCTCGAACTCCTGACCTCAGGTGATCCTCCCACCTTGGCCTCCCAAAGTGCTGGGATTATAAGCATGAGTCATGGCACCCGGCCTGAGTGCCTTTTTAAAGAACATGAGGGTTCTGATGCTCCACGGGGAGGTGGGAACCGAGTCCTGCCCCGCAGTGAATGATTCTGAGAACTGTGGATGAAACCCAGGCACAGAGGCTGCTCGGAAAACAGCCAGTTAGGCTGGATTTTCCTGAAGAAGGGCAGGGAAGCTCACAGGCAAAACATGCAGCTGGACCCAATAGAGGTGACCCCATCCTCCCATGCACACGTGCAAAGGGGTTTGCAGTGCCTGAAGCCCCTCCCCAGGAGTCATCATCCAGCTCCGTGGCAGGCCGGGAGGTGTGTGGCAATGGCCTGCCCCCTCATCTCTGCCTGTATTCGGGAAGATGGGGCTCAGAGAGAGGAAGCCACTGGTGTAAGGGCCCCTCCGGCCCAAGCCGGTGGCCATGTAACCCAACAAGACAAGAATTGGCAGCAGAAACGGCCAAGCAGAGGGCTGGAAGGAAAACTAGAAGAAAAATATAAAGTGAGTGTTCACTGAGGCCTCCTGGGCCTATCTTGGATATAGCGCAGCCTACAGCAGGTCAGCACAAAGAGAGACAGGGGCAGACTGGGCTATCTCTTCCTCACTATGCTCATGGCTGGACATCCAGCTCCTAACCCTCTGGCCACCCTCAAACCCAGCCCGAGTAGGTGAAAAACTTAGGCCTCTCCACTCGTCTCTCCCCCACCTTCTCAGGTGAGGCGTTTTTTATTCAACAAAAATTTCTGGGCCAGGCACGGTGGCTCAGGCCTGTAATCCCAGCACTTTGGGAGGCTGAGGCAGGAGGATTGCTTGAGCCCAGGAGTTCAAGACCATCCTGAGCAAACATAGTAAGACCCCATCTCTACAAAAAAATAATTTAAAAATTAGCCAGATGTGGTAGTGTGTGCCTGTCGTCCCAGCTACTCAGGGATCTGAGGTAGGGGAATCTCTTCAGCCCAGGAGGTCGAGGCTGCAGTGAGCTATGATCATACCACTGCACTCCAGCCTGGGCAACACGACGAGATCCTGTCTCTTAAAAACAAAGCAAAACAAACAAAACAAAAAAACACCTGGCCAGGTGCAGTGGCTCTCGCCTGTAATCCTGGCACTTTGGGAGGCAGAGGTGAGCAGATCACCTGAAGCCAGGAGTTCAAGACTAGCCTGGCCAACATGGTGAAACCCCGACTCTACTAAAAATACAAAAATCATTCAGGTGTGGTGTTTGGTGCCTGTAGTCCCAGCTACTCCAGAGGCTGAGGTAGGGGAATCTCTTGAGCCCAGGAGGTCAAGGGTACAGTGAGCTATAATCACACCACTGCACTCCAGCCTGGGCGAAAGAGCAAGACTCTGTCTCAAAAAAAAAATCTGAGGACCTCCTACGTGTCAGGCAGGCCCTGTCCTAGGCACTGAGGATGGATACGGCAGTGGGGAACACACACACCCATCCCCCACCTCACTTCAGGTCTTCCAGACCTTTTCTATATGTTGGAGCCGTAGACACCATTAGAAGAGCTGGACTTTTGCGACCACCATCCTGTACAAAGATTGTTTCTAGGTTGAAGAAGCTGTAAGTGAGCTTTCTACTTTCCAGAGGCAGGCAGTACCAAACAGCCTTTCCCAGACGGGGGACCCCATGAATCTCTCACCAGAGACCCCACACAGGCACCTGGGTTAGAGTGCATGGAAGAGTTCTGTGGAAACGCTGTCTGGGATCTAACACCACCAGACATTGTCCAGCCATGTCTCATCACAAGCCAGAAACTCCCCCTGCTCCTCAAGCTGTCCCTCCCCCACATCAGCCACAGAGGGGGAGACTGGAGAGACTGGGTGGTGGTCCCGGATGTGCCACTAGCGTGCTATGTGATCTTGCATAGTTCATTCCAACTTTGTCCTTCTGTGTCTCACTCATATAATGAGGGGTTTGACAACAAGATCCCTGAGGTACCTGCTTGCTCTTTAAAATTCTCTGGCACCCAGACACAGCCCAAGTTCCAGTGAAAACTGCACTGAGGTCCAAACCCCTGCTGCATTTTGCTCTTTGCCTGGAAAAGGGTGTTGCCGTGTCAGCCATACCCTGTTTACTTCCTGAGAAACATGGAGAAAAGTCTCCCTTGAATCTGTGAATTTCAGGTTTTTTCAGAGTTGGATCCCAGCCCGGAGCAGGGAAGAGCGTGAGGTAAAATTGTTCGAGTCGTCCAGAAATGCACATTTCCTGCAGTTTCTTTCCAAGTCTGGTGCTAAATGAACAAGCTCGAATGTGAACATGAACAAGGATGACTCAGGCGTAGAGAATGTTGGTAGCACGACACTGGCTGTAAATAATGGCAATGAAGGGACTTTTCTGACCCATTTGTTGACAAAAGATGGTAAGAGGTATTAATCTAGTTCAGGGATATCTAAACAGTTTTTGTTGTGCATCCTTATGATAAAATATTTTTGAACATTGTGCTCTGAATAGATGAATATTTATATTTCTGGAAATTATAGGCATATACTATACCTACTTATGAACATATAAAACATACACAAAGAAAGAAAATTAGAAGGACAAGACCAAGATAAAAGAAACTGTTCAGTAGAACAAAATGTTTATCTTTGTTACATTCATGTCATCTTGGGTTTTGTTATTTTTATGTTTTTGTTTGTTTGTTTCTTTGTTTTTTTGAGACAGACTCTTACTCTGTCGCGCAGGCTGAGTACAGCGGCGCAGTCTCGGCTCACTGCAACCTCCGCCTCCTGGGTTCAAGTGATTCTTCCACCTCAGCCTCCTGAGTAGTTGGGATTATAGGCAAGTTTTGTTATTTTTTTAATCGTGATTTAAGACTTTGTAATACAGCAATTTGAAAACCTGATTTCAAGTCTAGTTTACTTAAATTTTTTTTTTTTTAAGAGACGAGGTTGTTCTGTCACCCAGGCTGGAGTGTAGTGGTGCAATTATAGATCACTGTAGCCTCGAACTCCTGGGCTCAAGTGATTCTCCCATCTCAGCCTCCCTCATAACTGAGAATACAGTTGTGCATCGCCACACCAGCTACCTTCTTGGGTTTTGTGCTGTTGTAATGGAAAAAGTCATAACGCAAAAATACATATATCTAAATGAAAGAAGTCTATTTTGGAGGTGCTTTTCATTAGGGACATGAGCATATGCAAATTGGAAACTGACAAGGTTGAAGGTAGGGATTTCACAGGTGCTTCCTTCCTTCTCTCCCATCTCCTCCATCTCCTCCTCCTACCCTTCCTGCCAAGGATCTTTGTACCCCTCTAAATCGTGTTACATAAACAAGTAACTGTGACCCATGTTCAAACAGTTCCTCCAAAGACCCTATTTCTCTGTAACACAATGAGTTAATGTTTATATTTAACTCTTAATAAAGACCTAAATTTTTTGAAAACTCATAAATGAATGGAAAATATATACCAGTGTCTTTGTTTTGGTTAGGCAGTCTTAGGAGCTTGGAGCTTCAGACCGCTAGAGCCATGGTTCTCAAATTCTTGATGAATATGGCCCCTTTCCATGGAACACAGCATCTTAGTGATTGGAACTAACAAAAGACACTGCAAAAAGTTTTCAAAATGAATTATTAAAGTGCATCTGTATCTCTGTAATAATTGAGTAATAGTAATACATGCATGTGATATATTTCTGTGTTTCTTTCAATTTTTTTTTTAGAGATGGGGTCTTGCTATGTTGCCCAGGCTCGTCTTGAACTTCTGGACTCAAGCTATCTTCCTGCCTCTGTCTCCCAAGAGGCTGGGATTACAGGCACATGCCACTGTGTCTGGCTTGTATGTGATATATTTCATCAATCCTCAGATAAGACTTGGGATACTTAGGGATTAGGCAACCCTGGCAACCACTCCACAACCCTAGACCATAACCAAGATGCCTTGAAGACACTCCCCTAGTGGGAGGGAAAGGACTTAGGAATGAATATCCAGACCTCTTAGTGATTGTTTTGAAAACTCAAACCTATTACTTGGTGACCAACCTTATACTAACCTAAGAGCCATATGCTAAGGCAGGCATGGTGAAATTGTCAATCTTTTTCTAGCTCCAGTCTGCATGACGATTGATGCTTGTGACCTCCTAGGGCAAAAAGTGAAATGAGGAGAGAAAATGAAGAGATGCAGATAAAATGCTTACACAGTAAAAGACCCATCTGCGGGGTAACTGAGGCGCAAGGATGTCCGCTAGTGCAGTGCTTCTAAACTTAAACCTACATGGAAAATACCTGTGTATCTTGATAAAATGCAGATTATGACTCAACAGATCTGGGCTGGGGCCTGACATTCTGCATTTCTAGAAGCTCCCAGGAGATGCAGACGCTGCTAGTCCAAGACCATATGCCCTGAGTAAGGAGGCCCTATCCCGTGTGCATTCTCAACTGGGAGTCCAGTCTTCCTTGAGCCTGTCTCCTTTTGCTGACAGCAACCAACGGGTGTGAGATCTAAGCAGAGGCTGGCTTTGGTGAGCTACAGGGAGTAGCTAATGATCAGATTAGCTGCCCAGCCAGATAGCAGCACCTCAGTGTCACTTCCAGCCTAATGTCATGGCACCTTTGGGTTAAGTTTCTTTCAGTCTCATCCTCTCTGGGGACGGACGGAGCAGTCAAGCCAAGGAGGAGCGGTTCTCGTGGGTCCCACAGCGCCCCCCGCTGGCAGGAGGACACTCCAACGGGAGACCAGTCTTAGGGTAGAGGCGCAGCTGAGTTTCTGGCTGAAGATGAGGGCTGGAAGCAGGTGAAGCCAGGGAAGCAGCCCCTCGGCATGGGCTGTTGGCACCTAGCACGCCCACTGAGGCTCCTCATGGAACGGAAGTCCCTCTGTGACTGGAGCTACCAGTGTCACAGCTGTAGCAGGGACAAGCGGCTCAGGAGTGCCCAGTAGGGCTGGTTCCAGCAGAATCTGCACCTGTAAGGTAAGACCGGGTGGCCATTTCTTTCAGGCCACCATGGCTTCTCCCCATCATCTGGTTTGAGGAAATCTAATTTCTGTGATTCCAAGGTGATCTCCTGGCCCCTACTAACTTCTATTGTCTTAAAAAGACAGGCGGGCGCAGTGGCTCACACCTGTAATCCCAGCCCTTTGGGAGGCTGAGGTGGGCAGATCACTTGAGGTCAGGAGTTCGAGACCAGCCTGGCCAACATGGCGAAACCCCGTTTCTACTGAAAATACAAAAATTAGCTGGGTGTGGTGGCGGGCATCTATAATCCCAGCTACTTGGGAGGCTGAGGCAGGAGGATCACTTGAACCCAGGAGATGGAGGTTGCAGTGAGCCAGACCGCGCTGCTGCACTCCAGCCTGGGCAACAGAGCAAGACTCTGCCTCAAAAAAAAAAAAAAAAAGAGAGAGAAAGATGAGTCTATTCTCTGGCAGGGCCTCCCTTTAGTAGTGATCCCCTCCACTGCAGGGGGGAAGACTGTAGACATTAACCTTGGTTAGATCAGAGCAAGACACCCCCACACCCCAGAGACAAAGGGGTGTGAACCAGTCTTTCTTAGGGGAAATGAGATGGTTTTGAAAGTTTCCTAAAATAGCTGTGAATTAGCTTGTGATGCTCTTAAAAGCGTCCTCCCACAGATTCCCACGTGGAGCGAATGTGCTAGGGAATCATTTCAGGTTAATTTCCCTGTTCAGGAAGAACAGGTGTTCTCTTGTCCCCTTCTCACCCTGGCTGTTTGGCTACAAATCTAAATAGTGGAGTGGGAATGGGAGGGGCACGGCAGCAGGGACCGTGACAATTTTGCCCACCATCATCGTGTCCCCCACGTACAGGTCAGCATTGGGTAACTATTTTTTGGATGAATTACTGAGTCAGGGGATGGAATGGTGGCAGCGGCTCTTACCCGGCCGGCCTCTGCCAGTCCCAGATCATGGATGAAGACAGCTGATCCCCCCCAATGCCGCTCACCTCTGGGCACTTCTTTCCAAAGCCCAGGTGTGTGGGTGCTGGCTGTCCCAGCTGCAGCTCCTGTTCCCTTTGTCTAAGCTCTGCTCCCCTGCTGACCACTCAAGGCCTTAAACTTGAAAAGGTCTTGGTTCTGAGCTGAGCCTCCCATCCTAGCATTGAAGAGCCACAGTGGCTTCTGGGAAATGGCTGGAACCCACTTAGCACCACCGGGGACAGGATTCTGCCAGCCTGTCCTGGACCTTGCCTGAGCATCAGTGAAGCCCACCCCACACCAGGACAGACCAGTCTTGAGGTTTGGCCATGCCTGGCCACTAGCAGTCTTTATAACCGCTTCAAGGGGCAGAGTTCCAAGTCGATTTAATCAGAAAGACTTGCAGATGTTTCCTTTCAGCCGGCTGATTGTGTGCATTCAGGATGCCTAGCAGAACGCCGGGGGCTTTGGGGACCCAATTAAGAACACGCAGGGTTTGGGGGGATCCGGTGTCTTCATCCGGGATCTGGGACTGACAGGGGCTGCTGGTTAAGAGCCGCTGCCCCTGTTCCATTCACTGGCTCAGTAATTCCTCCAAGAGATAGTTAGCTAGTGCTGACCTGCACACCGGGGACATGATGGTGGTGAGCAAGGGGGAGGGCGAGCTGGAACAGAGGCTGTGCGGGCAAGGAGAGGCGTGGGAGAGGAGGCACTTCCTGCCAACCTCTCGAGACTTGTTGGTGATTTTGAGGCCCTGAGGAGGGTCTATTCCTCTGAGAATGAAACGCAGTAATGAAAAGCCGTGAATCAGGACCTGGCTCCAGGAGGGATGTGTTCTGGCAGATCTCTCAGGCCTGAGCGGCGGGCTGGTGAGAGCAGAAAGAGAAGCTGTTCATGGTTATCACAGAAAGCCATCTAGCACACATTCTCCCCACCGTGCCTCGCCCATCCCTCCCTCCCTCCTTCCCCCCATGCTTCCTGGTGGGAATTCATCTTTGCTCTGGAACCCTGTGCTGAGCTGAGCTCAGGCATGAAACTCACATTCAACCTGCCAGATGCTGTGTTTATTCTGGCACCAACCATGAGCTCAGGGAGCCTCCTTGTCTGCTTCTCTGTGGCCCAAACACCTGCCAGCTACATGGCTATGTGAAGGCAAACCTGAAGCTAAGGCCCACAGCCCTGTGGCAGGGTTAGCAAGGTGGCCCAGCAGCCAGCCTACCTGTGCGCTACTTCCCATCTGCTCCCAGTTCGGGAGGGAGGAGAGGTGGTGAGGGGAGGACCCTTCTCATTTCTTGTTTTAACTCCTCCAATTTGGCTGAGTCTTCTCAAGGGCTTAGCTCAGTGGTATCAGCCTTGGCTGCACACTGGAATCGCCTGTGTGGTCCCCTGGTTCTGATTGTATCTGTCTGGGTGCGCCCTGGACATTGGAATATCTAAGCTTCTGCAGGTGATTCTAATGTACAGCAAAAATGGATACCACTGGTCACTGAAGTATTTATACATCTGACGAGGACTAAATAGCCTGACCCTAGAGCGCCCACCTTCCTCATCTGGCTTATTCAAAGCGGGAATGACCTGGAGAAGAAAGATTTAATTAGGATGTTTCTGTCTATGGCTCTGCAGAAACTGTCTTTGTTTTTTCTCCATGTTCTTTAAGGGAAAATCCACCTGCTGATTGCTGTCTTCTAAGCAGGGAATTTTATTTTAAATTATAAAACAAAATTTATCTGGCCGGGCGCGGTGGCTCACGCCTGTAATCCCAACACTTTGGGAGGCCAAGGCGGGTGGGTCACGAGGTCAGGAGATCGAGACCATCCTGGCTAACACGGTGAAACCCCGTCTCTACTAAAAATACAAAAAAAAAATTAGCCGGGCGTGGTGGTGGGCGCCTGTAGTACCAGTTACTCGGGAGGCTGAGGCCGGAGAATGGTGTGAACCTGGGAGGCGGAGCTTGCAGTGAGCCGAGATCGCACCACTGCACTCTAGCCTGGGTGACAGAGCGTGACTCCATCTCAAAAAAAAAAAAAAAAAATTATTTTAATTAACTTTAAAATATAGAATGATAGAATTGAGAATATGTTGAAAAACTAGCCACTCCTGATTTCTTTCTTTTTTAAATTGTTATTTTTATTTTACATTCAAGGGGGTACATGTGTAGGTTTGTTACAAGGGTAAATTGTGTGATACTGAGGTTCTGTTGATCCCGTCACCCAGGTGGCAAACACTGTACCCGGTAGGAGATTTTTCAGCCCTGACCTCCCTCTCTCCTTTTGAAGTCCCTAGTATCTGCTGTTCCCATCTTTATGTCCACATGTACCCAAGATTTAGCTCCTACTTAAAAGTGAGAACATGCAGTGTTTGGTTTTCTGTTCGTGTGTTAATTTGTTTAGGATAATGGCCTTCAGCTGCATCCATGTTGCCGCAAAGGGCATGATTTCATTCTTTCTTATGGCTGCGTAGTATTCCATGGTGTATATATACCACACTTCCTCTATCCAGTCTACCATTGATGGACACCTAGGTTGATTCCATGTCTTTGTTGCTATTGTGAATAGTTGAGCAGGGAATTTTAAAACACTGTTGACAGAAATTATGTATCCCAGATAGGGTTGTCAGATAACTAATACAGGGTGCCAAGTTAAATATGATTTGAAAATAATCAATGAAATTTTTTAGCATATCCCATGCAATATGTGGGATATACTTATACTAAAACATTATTTAAATTTAACTAGGCATTCTATATTTTTATTTGATAAATCTGGTGACTGTAATAGATATGTTAATCAGAATAATATTATTTTGTTACATGTGACAAAAACCCTACTCAAACTCAAAGTGGAGAAAATAAATTTATTGGTTTACATCACTGAAAAGTCCATGTATTTAGGCTGTATTTAGATGTATCCAGGGATCTCTCTTCATCTCTTAGTTCTTCTTTTCGCCATCCAGGTCTTTCCAAATATACGGCAAGAAGGCCTCTAGTGGCTCAGGCCACAAGGCTCTAAGGGCTTATGACCCCAGTAGAAGAGAGAAAATCTCTCCTACAAAAACAGGGAAGACTGGTTTTTCTGGCTTGAGTCACATGTCTACTCCTGAACCACTGTGCCCAAGGAAATTGGGTACAGTAGATCTCCCATATCCATGGATTCCGCATCCCTGAATTCAACCAACTGCTGATTGAACATATTTGGGGGAGAGCTGGGTGCGGTGGCTCACGCCTGTAATCTCAGCACTTTGGGAGGCCAAGGCGGGCGGATCACCTGAGGTCAGGAGTTCGAGACCAGCCTGGCTAACATGGTGAAACCCCATTTCTGCTAAAAATACAAAAAGCTTAGCCAGGCATGGTGGTGTGCGCCTGTAATCCCAGCTACTTGGGAGGCTGAGGCAGAAGAATGGCATGAACCCAGGAGGCGGAGGTTGCAGTGAGCCGTTATCACACCATTGCACTCTAGCTTGGGCAACAAGAGCGAAACTCCATCTCAAAAAAAAACAAATTAAAATATTTGGGGGGGAAGGAATTCCACAAAGTTCCAAAAAGCAAAACTTGAATTTGTACACACTGAGTACTACATTGAATCCATGTGAATGAAGAGATGTGTAGGCATTGTATTAGGTATTGTAAGTAATCTAGAGATGATTTAAGGCATACAGGAGTATGTGTGTAGGTTATATGCAAATACTATGTCATCTTACATCAGAGACTTGAGTATCCTTGAATTTTGGTGTCTGTGGTGGGGAGGGGGTGGGACCTGGAACCAATCCCCAGATCACATAGTCAGCATTGTAATAGACCAGGGTGTGGGTGGTTTTCTAAGGGAAAGAATTTTGAGCAACATATGTCTACTACATCCTACAGAAGAAGAGGAGATGCTCTTCTTACTCATCTCAAACATGTGCACAAGTATTGCCTAAGAAAAGGAAAATCTAAATTAGGAACATCTGTGAGATCAGAGTGTGTGGCTCCCCAGGGGAGTCTATAATGGACCTGCGTGGTTTCTCAGTTCTTCTAGCAGGAGAGCACCCAACACCTCACCCAGCTGCTGACCCAGTGAAGTCGTCTGCATGTAGAAGTCTTTTTTTGAGATGGAGTTTTGCTCTTGTTGCCCTGGCTGGAGTGCAATGGCACCATCTCGGTTCACTGCAACCTCCACCTCCCAGGTTCAAGCAATTCTTTTGCCTCAGCCTCCCAAGTAGCTGGGATCACAGGCACCCGCCACCACACCAGGCTAATCTTGTATTTTTAGTAGAGACAGAGGTGCACCATGTTGGTCTTGAACTCCTGACCTCAGGTGATCTGCCTACATCGGCCTCCCAAAGTGCTATAATTACAGGCATGAGCCACCGCACCTGGCCACAACTTTTTTTTTTGACGGAGTCTCGCTCTTTCACCCAGGCTGGAGTGCAGTGGCGCTATCTCAGCTCACTGCAAGCTCCGACTCCCGGATTCATGCCATTCTCCTGCCTCACCCTCCCGAGTAGCTGGGACTACAGGTGCCCGCTACCATGCCTGGCTATGGTTTTTTTTTGTATTTTTAGTAGAGACGGGGTTTCACCATGTTAGCCAGGATGGTCTTGATCTCCTGACCTCGTGATCTACCCGTCTTGGCCTCCCAAAGTGCTGGGATTATAGGTGTGAGCCACTGTGCCTGGCCTTTTTTTTTTTTTTTAATATATATATGTATGTATTTTCATGTTTATTTCTTTTATATATATATATATTTTATTATACTTTAAGTTCTAGGGTACATGTGCACAATGTGCAGGTTTGTTACATATGTATACATGTGCCATGTTGGTGTGCTGCACCCGTTAACTCGTCATTTACATTAGGTATATCTCCTAATGCTGTCCCTCCCCCATCCCCCAACCCCACAACAGGCCCCAGTGTGTGATGTTCCCCTTCCTGTGTCCAAGTGTTCTCATTGTTCAATTCCCAGCTATGAGTGAGAACATGCGGTGTTTGGTTTTTTGTCCTTGCGATAGTTTGCTGAGAATGATGGTTTCCAGCTTCATGCACATTTACACCATGGAATACTATGCAGCCTTTTTTTTTTTTTTAAAGAGAGATAGGAAGCTAGGCATGGTGGCACTTGCCTGTAATCCTAGCTACTTGGGAGGCTGAAGCACGAGAATCACTTGAAACCGGGAGGCAGAAGTTGCAGTGAACAAAGATTATGCCGCTGCACTCCAGCCTGGGGGACAGAGTGAGACTCTGTCTCAAAAAATAATAATAATAAAAATAAAGACAAACAGGGTCTCACTCTATCCCCCAGGCTGAGTGCAGTGGCACAATCATAGCTCACTGCAGCCTTGAACTCCTGGGCTCAAGTGATCCTCCTGCCTCAGCCTCTTGAGTAGTTGGGACTACAGGTGGGCGCCACCATGCCCAGCTAGTTTTTTTGTATTCTATTGTTGAGATGGGCTCTCCCTGTGTTGCCCAGGCTAGTCTCCAGCTCCTCAAACAATCCTCCCATTTTGGCTTCCCAAAGCGCTGGGGTTTCAGGTGTGAGCCACTGCAACTTGCCGCTTTGTTGAATGTTCTAAGTTGCTGAAAGGATGAGGGAGACATCTCCATTATCCTTTAATCTCAGTTAAGTAAGTCAGCATTCCTACTTAACATACATCTCAATCAGGGGTATATAGCAGACTCAACTTTTTCAGAACAAAGTTGCCTGTCTCATACTTCAAGACATTCTGATTGAGAAGGTAGAGATGGAGGGCTAGATTGGAATATGTATATTTTGGTTTTTAAAGAACCCCACAAATATTTCTCATAAACTGCTATCTACTTCCCACAGTTATTTCAGAAATTAGTTCTGAAATACTTCTCTCCTATTGCTTAGAATATCAATACGAATTCTGCAGCAACAATGCCTGTGGTTTGATGTCAATGCCTCCTCACACCATGGCATACCACAATTGTATTGCGAATAATTTAGTATAAATATCAGCCAACCTAACGTTGCCTGCTGCTAACCAATTTTAATCTCATATTTAGAAATACCTTTGTGCACGCACAAAAAGACTTGGAAAAGGAGGTTTCTTTATTAAAAGAGGTGGTCCCCTTCTTCAGATGGTTTAGGTTTGGTTCTGGCAGAGGTTGGGGATGGAACCCAAGAGAAACACACCGTTCTTTCTCTTCTCACTCCTAGAAACATGTTTTGACAGTCATCCCTGTGATATCTTGGGGGTGGAACTGCCATTGGTGACATGATTATTAAATGTGGTGATGGATGAATGCTTTGCTTATTTTACCTTGTGTTACCACTGATATAAATCAAATCCTCCCTGACAACATCAAAAAGTGCTGGAATCCTGGAAGCCCACAGCCAAACAAGAACCATAGGGTGGCTTCAATAGGGGGTTGCCAGGCTGGTAGGATAGCAAAATGGGGCTGAGAGTTTGGAGAACAGAGACAGCCACCACCTAAGGCTGCAGTGAGCTGTATGTAGATACATATGCAGGTATGTAGATTCATACCTGTCCACTCTGAACTCATTTCAACGTTCTAATTATTAGCAATTATAAAATAGTTTTCTCATACGTTAGTTTCTTCCAGTCCTCCTCCTCTCTCACTGTCAATTCAAGGTAAATGGCTCCATTTGTATTAATTAGGGTTCTCCAGCGAGATAGAATCAACAGAATGTAGAGATATAAACAGAGAGCTACGAGAGGGGGATTATTAGGGGAATTGGCTCACATGATTATGGAGGTTGAGATGTCTCACAACAGGTCACCTGCAAACTGGAGACCCTGGGATGCTGGTATCATGGCTTAATCCAAGTCCAAAAGTCTCAGCACCAGGGGAGCTGCCATTCAAAAGTTAAAGGGCCTCTCCCACCCCTACCCCTTATCCACCCCCCACTACTAAATGAAAGTGATATTTTCCAGTTAAGTTTCCACACTGCAAGATTATACATAAAAATATTAACATCTAGCCAAATCCATCATTTTCAGATTCATATTTTAGCTGAAATGATAACAATTATTTTTTTTTTTACATTGGATTCCTTTTCTAGCAGTGGAGACCTCTCCACTGAAATACCACTAAAGACGTAAGGGGCTGGGCATGGTGGCTAACACCTGTAATCCCAACATTTGGGAGGCCGAGGCGGGCAGATCACTTGAGGTCAGGAGTTCGAGACCAGCCTGGCCAACATGGTGAAACCCTGTCTCTACTTAAAATACAAAAATTAGCTGGGCATGGTGGCAGGTGCCTGTAATCCCAGCTACTCAGAGGCTGAAGCAGGAGAATAGCTTGAACCCGGAAGGTGGAGGTTGCAGTGAACTGCGATCATGCCATGCACTCCAGCCTAGGTTACAGAGTGAAACTGCCTCAAAAAAAAAAAAAAAAAAAAAAAGACTACGTTCCAAGATGGTCAAATACGAACAGCTCACGTCTGTAGCTCCCAGCGTGATCGACGCAGAAGATGGTGATTTCTGCATTTCCAATTGAGCCTCTGCTGGTGATACCCAGGTAAACAGGTTCTGGAGTGGACCTCCAGCAAACTCCAGCACACCTGCAGCTGAGGGACCTGACTGTTAGAAGGAAAACTAACAAACAGAAAGGAATAGCATCAACATCAACAAAAAGGACATCCTCACCAAAACCTCATCTGTAGGTCACCAGCATCAAAGACCAAAGTAGATAAAACCACAAAGATGGGGAGAAACCAGAGCAGGAAAGCTGAAAATTCTGAAAACCAGAGTGCCTCTTCTCCTCCAAAGGATTGCAGCTCCTTGCCAGCAATGGAACAAAGCTGGACAGGGAATGACTTTGACGAGCTGACAGAAGTAGACTTCAGAAGGTCGGTAATAACAAACTTCTCCGAGCTAAAGGAGGATTTTTGAACCCATTGCAAGGAAGCTAAAAACTTTGAAAAAAGATTAGATGAATGGCTCACTAGAATAAACAGTGTAGAGAAGACCTTAAATGACCTGTTGGAGCTGAAAACCATTGCTCGAGAACGATGTGATACATGCATAAGCTTCACTAGCTGATTCGATCAAGTGGAAGAAAGGGTATCAGTGATTGAAGATCAAATTAGTGAAATAAAGCAAGAAGAGAAGTTTAGAGATAAAAGAGTAAAAAGAAACAAACAAAGCCTCCAAGAAATATGGGACTATGTGAAAAGACCAAATCTACATTTGATTAGTGTACCTGAAAGTGACGGGAAGAATGGAACCAAGTTGGAAAACACCCTTCAGGATATTATCCAGGAAAACTTCCCCAACCTAGCAAGGCAGGCCAACATTCAACTTCAGGAAATACAGAGAACGCCACAAAGATACTCCTTGAGAAGAGCAACCCCAGATTCACCAAGTTTGAAATGAAGGAAAAAATGTTAAGGGCAGCCAGAGAGAAAAGTCGAGTTACCCACGAAGGGGAGCCCATCAGACTAACAGCCGATCTCTCGGCAGAAACTCTACAAGCCAGAAGAGAGTGGGGGCCAATATTCAACATTCTTAAAAGAATTTTCAATCCAGAATTTAATATCCAGCCAAACTAAGCTTCATAAGTGAAGGAGAAATAAAATCCTTTACAGACAAGCAAATGCTGAGAGATTTTGTCCCCACCGGGCCTGTCTTACAAGAGCTCCTGAAGGAAGCACTAAACATGGACAGGAACAACCGGTACCAGCCATTGCAAAAACATGCCAAATTGTAAAGACCATCAATGCTAGGAAGAAACTGCATCAACTACGAGCAAAATAACCAGCTAACATCATAATGACAGGATCAAATTCACATACAACAATATTAACCTTAAATGTAAATGGGCTAAATGCTCCAATTAAAAGACACAGACTGGCAAATTGGATAAAGAGTCAAGACCCTTCAGTGTGCTGTATTCAGGAGACCCATCTCATGTGCAGAGACACACATAGGCTCAAAATAAAGGAGGAAGATCTACCAAGCAAATGGAAAGCAAAAAAAACCAGGGATTGCAATCCTAGTCTCTGATAAAATGGACTTCAAACCAACAAAGATCAAAAGAGACAAAGAAGGCCATTACATAATGGTAAAGGAATCAATTCAACAAGAAGAGCTAACTATCCTAAATGTATATGCACCCAATACAGGAGCACCCAGATTCATAAAGCAAGTCCTTAGAGACCTACAAAGAGACTTAGACTCCCACACAATAATAATGGGAGACTTTAACACCCCCCTGTCAATATGAGAAAGATCAACGAGACAGAAAGTTAACAAGGATATCCAGGACTTGAACTCAGCTCTGCACCAAGCAGATCTAACAGACATCTACAGAACTCTCCACCCCAAAGCAACAGAATATACATTCTTCTCAGTACCACATGTGCACTTATTCCAAAATCGACCACATAGTTTGAAGTAAAGCACTCCTCAGCAAATGTAAAAGAACAGAAATCACAACAAATTGTCTCTCAGACCACAGTGCAATCAAATTAGAACGCAGGATTAAGAAACTCACTCAAAACTGCACAACTGCATGGAAACTGAACAACCTGCTCCTGAATGACTACTGGGTAAATAACGAAATGAAGGCAGAAATAAAGATGTTCTTTGAAATCAATGAGAACAAAGACACAATGTACCAGAATCTCTGGGACACGTTTAAAGCAGTGTGCAGAGGGAAATTTATAGCACTAAATGCCCACAAGAGAAAGCAGGAAAGATCTAAAATCAACACCCTAACATCACAATTAAAAGAACTAGAGAAACAAGAGCAAACAAATTCAAAAGCTAGCAGAAGGCAAGAAATAACTAAGATCAGAGCAGAACTGAAGGAGATAGAGACACAAAAAACCTTCAAAAAATCAATGAATACAGGAGCTGGTTTTTTGAAAAGATCAACAAAATTGATAGACCACCAGTAAGACTAATAAAGAAGAAAAGAGAGAAAAATCAAATAGATGCAATAAAAAAGGATAAAGGGGATATCACCACTGATCCCAGATAAATAAAAACTACCATCAGATAATACTATAAAGACCTCTACGCAAATAAACTAGAAAATCTAGAAGAAATGGATAAATTCCTGGACACATACACCCTCTCAAGACTAAATCAGGAAGAAGTTGAATCTCTGAATAGACCAATAACAGGCTCTGAAATTGAGGGAATAATTAATAGCCTACCAACCAAAAAAAGTTCAGGACCAGAATTCACAGCCGAATTCTACCAGAGGTACAAAGAGGAGCTGTTACTATTCCTTCTGAAACTATTCCAATCAATAGAAAAAGAGGGAATCCTCCCTAACTCATTTTATGAGGCCAGAATCATCCTGATACCAAAGCCTGACAGAGACACAACAAAAAAAGGGAATTTTAGACCAATATCCCTGATGAATATTGATGCGAAAATCCTCAATAAAATACTGGCAAACCAAATCCAGCAGCACATCAAAAAGCTTATCCACCGCGATCAAGTCGGCTTCATCCCTGGGATGCAAGCTGGTTCAACATACAAAAATCAATAAATGTAATCCATCACATGAACAGAACCAAAGACAAAAGCCACATGATTATCTCAATACATGCAGAAAAGGCCTTCAACAAAACTCAATAGCCCTCCATGCTAAAAACTCTCAATAAACTAGGTATTGATGGAACGTATCTCAAAATAATAAGAACTATTTTTGGCAAACCCACAGCCAATATCATACTGAATGGGCAAAAACTGGAATCATTCCCTTTGAAAACTGGCACCAGACAGGGATGCTCTCTCTCTCACCGCTTCTATTCAACATAGTGTTGGAAGTTCTGGCCAGGGCGATCAGGCAAGGGAAAGCAATAAAGGGTATTCAATTAGGAAAAGAGGAAGTCAAATTGTCCCTGTTTGCAGATGACATGATTGTATATGTAGAAAACCCCACTGTCTCAGCCCAAAATCTCCTTAAGCTGATAAACAACTTCAGCAAAGTCTCAGGATACAAAATCAATGTGCAAAAATCACAAGCATTCCTATAAATCAATAACAAACAGAGTGCCAAATCATGAGTGTACTTCCATTCACAATTGCTACAAAGAGAATAAAATACCTAGGAATCCAACTTACAAGGAATGTGAAGGACCTCTTCAAGGAGAACTACAAACCACTGCTCAACGAAATAAAAGAGGACACAAAAAAATAGAAGAACATTCCCTGCTCATGTATAGGAAGAATCAATATCATGAAAATGGCCATACTGCCCAAGGTAATTTATAGATTCAATGCCATCCCCATCAAGCTACCAATGACTTTCTTCACAGAATTGGAAAAAACTAAAGTTCATATGGAACCGAAAAAGAGCCCGCATTGCCAAGACAATCCCAAGCCAAAAGAACAAAGCTGGAGGCATCACGCCACCTGACTTCAAGCTATACTGCAAGCCTACAGTAACCAAAACAGCATGGTACTGGTACCAAAACAGATATATAGACCAATGAAACAGAACAGAGCCCTCAGAAATAATACCACACATCTACAACCATCTGATCTTTGACAAATCTGACAAAAACAAGCAATGGGGAAAGGATTCCCTATTTAGTAAATGGTGCTGGGAAAACTGACTAGCCATATGTAGGAAGCTGAAACTGCATCCCTTCCTTACACCTTATACACAAATTAATTCAAGATGGATTAGAGACTTAAATCCATCTAAAACCATAAAAACCCTAGAAGAAAACCTAGGCAATACCATTCAGGACATAGGCATGGGCAAGGACTTCATGACTAAAACACCAAAAGCAAAGGCAACAAAAGCCAAAATAGACAAATGGGATCTAATTAAACTAAAGAGCTTCTGCATGGCGAAAGAAACCACCATCAGAGTGAACAGGCAACCTACAGAATGGAAGAAAATTTTTCCAATCTACCCATCTGACAAAGGGCTAATATCCAGAATCTACAAAGAACTTAAACAAATTTACAAGAAAAAAGCAAACAACCCCATCAAAAAGTGGGTGAAGGATATGAACAAACAGTTCTCAAAAGAAGACATTTATGCAGCCAACAGACACATGAAAAAATGCTCATCATCACTGGCCATCAGAGAAATGCAAATCAAAACCACAATGAGATGCCATCTCACACCAGTTAGAATGGCAATCATTAAAAAGTCAGGAAACAACAGGTGCTGGAGAGGATGTGGAGAAATAGGAACACTTTTACACTGTTGGTGGGACTGTAAACTAGTTCAACCATTGTGAAGGACAGTGTGGCGATTCTGCAAGGATCTAGAACTAGAAATACCATCTGACCCAGCGATCCCATTACTGGGTACATACCCAAAGGATTATAAATCATGCTGCTATAAAGACACATGCACACGTATGTTTATAGCGGCACTATTCACAATAGCAAAGACTTGGAACCAACCCAGATGTCCATCAATGATAGACTAGATTAAGAAAATGTGGCAGATATATACCATGGAATACTATGCAGCCATAAAAAAGGATGAGTTCATGTCCTTTGTAGGGACATGGGTGAAGCTCGAAACCATCATTCTGAGCAAACTATCACAAGGACAGAAAACCAAACACCACATGTTCTCACTCATAGGTGGGAATTGAACAATGAGAACACTTGGACACAGGGTGGGGAGCATCACACACTGGGGCCTGTCGTGGGGTTGGGGGCAGGGGGAGGGAAAGCATTAGGAGAAATACCTAATGTAAATGACGAGTTAATGGGTGCAGCACACCAACATGGCACATGTATACCTACGTAATAAATCTGCATGTTGTACATATGTACCCTAGAACTTAAAGTATAATAAAAAAAATTAAAAATAAATAAATAAATAACCCACCCCCGCCGCCAAAAAAAACCCGTAAGGGAGTGGGCTATGCACTCCCTCAGCGTCTGAAGGCAGGATCTGAAGAAGGCATGTACCAGCCCCACCTTTCCCTGCAGGATGATGGTTCACCTTGGAAACTAATTACTTTTTAAAATTTTAATATAGGGTTTTAAATTATTTACCATCAGGAAAGCTGAAATGAACAAAGATTGACATCATATAACCCTGGCTTAAGGTCGCCAAATTTTGAGAATGTAGACTCACATAAATAAGTAGATTTATATACATAACAAGTAATTTTTTCACTGCTTCACAAGTTATTACAGGTAATTACTAAGGAAAGCTGACCAGAATACTGCCAGAGTTGCTACAGAATAACATTTGGGGCCACCTTGGTTGGAAATATACGGAGGCAGTTGAGTTGAACGGTAGACTGAGAAACTTCTCATCCACTATCTCTTTTATCATCTTGCAAAGTATTCACCAAGAACATTTGCTATGAGAAAAGTGACTAGATAGCATCCTTAATTTTACCAACAAGGTAATGATTTTTTATTACACATCGAACAACGAAGAATGTCAGACCCTTCAGATTTCTCACGACCAATTCTCCTTCTCAACTGTCAAGACTTTTTCATTGCAGGGATCTTGTCATGTTTAGTGTTTTTAAGATACAGTTTTCCCTTAAAATTGTTGACAGCATGAAGCTGTGAAAACATATCTGCTTCAATAAGCCAATTTTGTGAGTCATATTTTTAAAAAATATGTTGTTAAATTTAACCAGTGATGTGTTGTTAGACCCACTCTCCAGAAAGAAAAAAGAAAAAACAGAAAGTCCTGATTTGTTGTGTTTGCCAATTTCTGTGGTGTAAATCCTCCCACTGTGGCTGATTTCAAGCGACAAAGTAGTGTAACTAAATGCAGAGTTGGGAGGAGACGTGCATGGTTGATTCTCACAAGTTGGTATGAGCCAGGAAGAGCAGGATTCAGGACACCATGGATTTTAGCCACACACGAAAAGATGCATGCAGTCTATGTGTGAGGTCTAACAAATATGTAAAAGAGAACACCCATGTTACTCCACCAAAGTCAAGAAACAGAGCATCACCTGCACCCCAGCAGTCCACCGCATGCCCCTTATAATCTTCTTCCCTGTTAGTTAGCCACTTTTGTCACTTTTCTGCTATTGTTTTTACACCTTTTTTTCTTTTTTATCACATAAGTGTGCATCCCTAAATGTTCTGATTTAATTTCACCTGTCTTGAACTTTATATAAATGAAATTGGCCAGGCGTGTTGGCTCACACCTGTAATCCCAGCACTTTGGGAGGCCGAGGCGGGTGGATCACCTGAGGGCAGGAGTTCTAGACCAGCCTGGTCAATATGGTGAAACCCCGTTGCTACTAAAAATAGAAAAATTAGCTGGATGTGGTGGTGGATGCCTGTAATCTCAGCTACTCAGGAGGCTGAGTCAGGAGAATCGCTTGAATCTGGCAGGCAGAGGTTGCAGTGAGCCGAGATTGTGCCATTGCACTCCAGCCTGGGCAACAAGAGCAAAACTCCATCTCAAAAAAAAAAAAAAAAAAGAAATCATACTCTAAGTATAAGTATTCTTTTTGGCGATTTTTTTTTTTTTTGAGACAAGATCTCACTGTGTCACCCAGGTTAGAGTACAGTGGCATGACCTTGGCTCACTGCAACCTCTTCCTCCTGGGCTCAAGCCATCCTCCCACCTCAGCCTCCCCAGTAGCTGGGACCACAGGCATGCACCACCATATCTGGCTAATTTTTGTATTTTTAGTGGAGATGGAGTTTCACCATGTTGCCCAGACTAGTTTCAAACTCCTGAGCTCAAGCAATGTACCCACCTTGGCCTTCCAAAGTGCTGAGATTATAGGCATGAGCCACTGCACCCAGCCTCTTTTGTGTTTTATTTTGCTCAACATTATATTTGTAAGATTTATCCATGCTGTTGCATCTAGCTATAGTTCATTTTTTTTTTCTTTTTTTGTTTTGAGACAGGGTCTAACTCTGTTGCCCAGGTTGGAGTTCAGTGACACAATCATGGTTCACTGTGGCCTCGGCCTCCTCAGCTCAAGCAGTCCTCCTGCCTCAGCCTCCCAAATAACTGGGACTACAGGCACATGCCACCACATACAGCTAATGTTTTTGTATCTTTTGTAGAGATGGGATTTTGCCATGTTGCCCAGGTTGGTCTTCAACTCTTGGGCTCAAGTGATCTGCCTGCCTTGATCTCTCAAAGTGCTGGGATTACAGGTATGAGCTGCTGCGCCTGGCCTAGCTCATTCATTTTTATTGCTACACAGTATTACAACATAAAAATATCCTCAGGGATGTGCTGGAGGCAGCTTATACAGACTCATGAGCATTGATTGTTAAATGTTCACAAATTTTGTAAGCTAGTTAATGTCATGTTGGGAGCTTGAAATTAGCCATGATGAGTATATTTGCACCATGGAAATTAGCAAATGCTACAAATCGGGGCTTTTTCTCCCTGTTGTTAAACATCTGCCAGCATGCCATTGAATATACAATAATGTATTTATCCATCCTACAGTAAATGGGCATTTGGTTTGTTTCCAGTTTTTGACTCTGAATATTCTCTTCCATGTATACTGGTAAACGTGTGCTCACATTTTTAGAGGAGAGAATATAGCACAGAAGTGAAATTGTTAGGTTATATGGTATGCCGTGTTCAATTTTAGTTGATAATGTCAAAGAATTTTCCAAAGTGTTGGTACCAATTTACATAGAATCCTGGTTTTGTTTGCGAATTCTTATTACTCCTGTTATTCCTATTAAACCCATGATATTGCTGGAGTTTCAAACTTGTGCCAAACAAATGGTTGTATACTTAGATATGATTATGGCTTTAAGATGCATTTTCCTAATTTTTTTTTTTTTTTTGAGATGGAGTCTCCCTCTGTCTCCCAGGCCAGAGTACAGTGGCATGATCTTGGCTCACTGCAACCTCCACCTCTCAGGTTCAAGCGATTCTCCTGCCTCAGCCTCCCGAGTAGCTGGGATTACAGGCGTGCGTTACCACACCCAGCTAAGTTTTGTATTTTTAGTAGAGACGGGGGTTTCACCATGTTGGCCAGGCTGGTCTCAAACTCCTGACCTCAGGTGATCTGCCCGCCTCGACCTCCCAAAGTGCTGGGATTACAGGCGTGAGCCACCGTGCCCGGCCGCATTTTCCTAATTTCTGATGAGGTTGAGCACCTTTCCTTATGTTGTTTGGCTCATTTGAATTTTTTCTTGTGTAAAGTACTTGTTCAAGTTTTGCTGAATTTTTTACTGTATTTTTCTTATTGGTTTTTCAGAGTTCTTTTTATATTCCAGATATTCTAATATAAGTCTGCTGTTATACATTTCCCTCTATTTCTTTTTATCCCTTTCCTGAACAAAAAATATGGTCTATGGTTAATGTGGGTACAATTGTACAGACTCTAGGTTTATTTTGATCTTGTGTGTATGATTTTTTGCTTGGCCCCATTTCACCTTCTCTGGAACCACTTTGTTTCTCTGATCTAGAGTTACAATTTTAAGATGAAGTGTAGAGATTCCTCCATTTCTCTGAGACTCAAAGGGTCACGGAGAAGAGGGGATATTCGGCTTGGATTATGCATGGAGTCCTGTGCTCCACTCTTTGTCCTGGCTCAGATTCATTCATTCATTTATTGAGACAGAGTATTGCTTTGTCACCAAGGCTGGAGTGCAATGGCGCAATCTCAGCTCACTGCAACCTCCGCCTGCTGGGTTCAAGTGAGTCTCCTGCCTCAGCCTCCTGAGTAGCTGGGATTACAGGCACGTGCCACCACGCCTGGCTCATTTTTCTATTTTTAGTAGAGACAGGGTTTCACCATGTTGGTCAGGCTGGTCTCAAACTCCTGACGTCATGATCTGCCCAACTCAGCCTCCCAAAGTGCTGGGATTACAGACATGAGTCACAGTGCCCGGCCGGCTCAGATACTTTTAAATGCCCTAGGCCTACTTTCTCTAGCCAGTCTACTTCATTCTACTGGATTCTGGAAACTTTCTGAAAACCCAGCACAATGTCCTGGAAGACAGCAATCCTTATTGCACTTTCTGCAGATGGCTCATGGCAGGGTAATGGTAAAAGGAAAGAAGCAAGAGATTGTCATATGATCAAAAGACACACCTCTCCCCTAAAGCTTTCATTTATTAATGAAATGACACCACATAGTACTTATAGGAGAGGTTGCTCTTCGTCTGAGACTCCTGAAAGGTATTCTTGTCTGTAGAAACACATAAAATGAACAAAACAGGAAGACAGTATCTATTTAAAGCTTCTATAAAAAGAAAACAGAGACCAGGCATGGGGGCTCATGCAGATAATCCCAGCACTTTGGGAGACTGAGGTGGGTGGATCGCCTGAGGTCAGGAGTTCAAGAGCAGCCTGGCCAACATGGTGAAACCCCATCTCTACTAAAAATATGAAAATTAGCCTGGCATGGTGGTGGGTGCCTGTAATCTCAGCTACTTGGGAGGCTGAGGCAGGAGAATCGCTTGAACCCGGGAGGTGGAGGTTGCAGTGAACCGAGTTCGCGCCATTGCACTCCAGCCTGGGCAATAGAACAAGATTCTGTCTCAAAAAAAAAAGAAAGAAAGAAAAAAGAAAAAGCCACTCTCATTTATTGCTAGTAGAAATCCAAAATGCACAGTTGCTATGGTGTGGAATTTGGCAATATCTAGCAAGAGTACACGTAGACTGCCCTTGACCCAGCAATTCCACCTCCCAAACAAAGTTCATGCCAGGACTTTTGCATAAGGCAGCACTGTTTGTTGAAAGACTGGAAACAACCGCCGGGCATGGTGGTTCACGCCTGTAATCCCAGCACTTTGGGAGGACAAGGCAGGTGGATCACGAGGTCAGGAGATCGAGACCATCCTGGCTAACACAGTGAAACCTCGTCTCTACTAAAAATACAAAAAAAATTAGCCAGGCGTGGTGGCGGGCACCTGTAGTCCCAGCTACTCAGGAGGCTGAGGCAGGAGAATGGCATGAAACCGGGAGGCGGAGCTTGCAATGAGCCGAGATTGCACCACTGCGCTCCAGCCTGGGTGACAGAGCGAGACTCCATCTCAAAAAAAAAAAAAAAAAAAAAAGAAGAAGAAAGACTGGAAACAACCCAAATGCCCATCTATATAGAAGATGGTTGAATAAATTTTGGTAGAGTATTTTGCACTGATTAAAAAAAAAGAACAAGGAATATCTCTGTGTATTTTTGTGGAGTGACCTCCAGGATATATTGTTAAGTAAAAAAGAGTAAGGTGGTTACAAATGTATGTACGTTATAGAGGAAGGGAATACACATAGTTATATATGCTGTCTTGCATTACAAAAAAGCAAAGATAAACCAAAAGCAACAGAAAAATTAACCTACAGAGGAAGGAGGAATGGAGGGGAAAAGTCAGGAATAAAAGCTGGACTTCTCTGAATATATCTAATTTTATAGATTGGACATAATTATAAAAACCAGATTTAAAAATTTTAAAGCCATCTCTAAAAACTTAAAATGAAAACAAAAAGCCTACAAATAAATTGGTGGTATAAAAACACAAAGAGGAATTATTCTCTTCCAAGGTACTGTAAACAGTTGACTGTCGTCCCTATTGGGATATATCATGAAGACAAAAAATGCTGCAAAATAGATCTTAAACATTTCTCAACGATCATATTGTTGATGATAGTGTTGATATCAGACACTGTTACATATGTACTGTGGGGGAAGCAAATTCTTACCTTGTGTCATTGGAAACTGGGATTTTTACTAGCTGAGAAAGAATCAAAGAGGTTAAGTAAAAGATAGTTTGAATTTGAACTGGAAATATTAATGCAAATTTAAGATGTGTTTCATTTTTAAAAATTTGTGTATTTCCTGTTCTTTCTTCAGACAAAGTCTATAAACGATAATATAGCCAGTAGCAGTGAACACTGCCATTGCTCAGACTATGGTATCTAAATGCTATTTCGGACTATGAAAAAACACAGTGTCTTAGAGAAAATGTTGATTCCAGGAATTGTACTAAATAAGCCCAAATGTCTTCTCATAGAAGTTATCAGTAACTACTTGGGTTGTGTCAAAGGGCTTAGAAGCTAAATTACCTCTGGGTAGCTAAATAATTGATGGAGTTGGGGGTGGTTCTTTATAGAACTATTCTAATAGAATTAGCATATTAATATTTGAAGCCCTAATTAAGTAATGGACCTGAGCAGTAATCATGAATGGCTGCTAACATCACAGAAAAGGAGATAAGCAGATATTCTATCTTGCCTGATAAAAAACACAAATACAAAGTAATCATATTTAAACAAATGTCTGAACAAGCCTTTAGCTCCAACTACCAATTTATATGAAATGAAGAGTCAGAGGGCTAGGATAAATTTTAATCTCTCCTAAGTAGTGAGTTGGGATATGGAGCAAGAGCCTATCTGGTCTTTCTGGAGGGAAGGGAAAGAGGAGAGAAGAAATTTAGGAGCTTGGCCCGGGAGCTCTCTTTGCCAGTCTCTCTCTCACCTTCACCTCAGTCTTGCTGGCATCAGAAGAGACATGAAAAGGGAGAAAACGGTAGTTGTGGTCAACTCTGTGGTCAGCAGTGTTTACAGTGGCAGGCTGTTTATAGGAGTGAAGAGGGATGCCTTCCATTCTCCCTTTGCAGAGGCCAAGATTGAACTCTCAACGAAGAACAGCATTCTTACTGCCAGAACGTGTTTTGCTGGCCCAGGTAGGCCTGACAACCACTTGCTCAGGTTATCCCATGACAGGCCTACCTAGTTGCTGGCCGCAGACTTCTCTTAGTCAAATCCTGCCTTCCACAGGCCTATGGATAGCAAAATCCCCTAGAACCAAGGACAAAATATCATTCCCACTGTCAGGATTTCTGGATTTTGTTTTTTGTTTTTTGTTTTGTTTTGTTTTGAGATGGAGTTTCACTCTTGTTGCCCAGGCGATAGTGCAATGGTGCAATCTTGGCTCACCGCAACTTGTACCTCCTGGGTTCAAGCTATTCTCCTGCTTTAGCCTCCCAAGTAGCTGGGACTACAGGCATGCACCGCCACACCTGGCTAATTTTGTATTTTTAGTAGAAACAGGGTTTCACCGTGTTGCCCAGGCTGGTCTCAAACTCCTGACCTCAGGTGATCCACCCGCCTCGGCCTCCCAAAGTGCTGGGATTACAGGCATGAGCCACCGCGCCCAGCCCCCACTGTCAGGATTTTTAATGTTTCTCAGTGTTTTGCCCTTTCATTTTATTTAATTAATGTATTAGTCCATTCTTGCACTGCTATAAAGAAATAACTGAGACTGGGTAACTTAAAAGAAGTTTCATTGGCTCACGGTTCTGCAGGCTATACGGGAAGCATGGCAGCTTCTGCTTCTGGGGAGGCCTCAGGAAACTTACAATCATGGCGGAAGGCAAAGTGGGAGCAGGCATTTTACATGGCAAGAGCAGGAACAAGAGAGAGAGCAGGCAGGTGCTACAAACTTTTAAACCAGATCTCACGAGCACTCACTATCATGAGAAAGGCACCAAGGGGATAATGCTAAACCATTCATGAGAAACTACCCCCACGATCCAATCACCTTCCACCAGTCCCCATCCCCAGCACTGGGGATTACAATTCGACATGAGATTTGGGTGCAGACACAGATCCAAACCATAGCAATTTATTTATTTGAGACAGGGTCTTGCTCTGTTGCCCAGGCTGGAGTGCAGTGGTGCGATCATAGCTCACCACAGCCTCCAACTCCTTAGCTCAAGCGATCCTCCCACCTTGGCTTCCCAAAGTGCTGGGATTATAAGTGTGAGTCACTGTACTCAGCCCACACAACTGTTTTCAGAGCTGGTGGATGTTAGGGCATTGACTTGGCTGCTTTTTTCTTCCTAGAAGTGAAAATAACAGTGTCTTGAATAAGGTAGAAGTTTATTCTTCTTTTATGTGAAAATCCAACTGCTAAGGAGTCCAGAAAGATAGGGCAGCTCCCTTTCAGGAAGTCTTTTGAGGACCTAGGTTTTTCCTATTGTGTTGTTCCGCCATCCCATTAATGATGCTCTGTCTACCTGCATGGTCAAGAAGAGCTCAACACCATCACCCCCAGCCAGTGAGAAGGGAAAATAAGTGATGGACAAACAGCTCCCATTTAAGCATCTAGCCAGAACCACAGGCATCACTTGCACTCATCCCATTGGACAGAACTTAGCATGTGGTCACAACTAGGTACAAGGAAGGCTGGCAATTGTAATCTACAGCTAGAGAGCTGAAACTTAAGGGGTTGTAAAAATACATGAAAGAAGGGGCTGGGTGTAGCGATTCACGCCTGTATTCTCAGCTCTTTTTGAGGCTGAAGTGGGCAGATCACTCGAGGTCAGAAGTTTGAGACCAGCCTGGCCAACACGGTGAAACTCCGTCTCTACTAAAAATACAAAAATTAGCCGGATGTGGTGGCATGCACCTGCAGTCCCAGCTATTCAGGAGGCTGAGGCAGGAGAATTGCTTGAATCCAGGAGGCTGAGGTTGCAGTGAGCTGAGATCGTGCCACAGCACTTCAGCCTGGGCCACAGAGTGAGACTTTGTCTCCAAAATAAATAAATAAATGAATAAATAGATACAATACATGGGAGAAGGGAAGGTCTGTTGGGTGCCAACTAACAGTCTTTTCCGCACCTCATCAGCCGAGTTGCCTGGTGACAACATTTGGAGATAATCAGGGAAGTGGACTGTGACTTCATCCTAACTCTCTCTCTTATCTCATTTTCTCCCCTAAGTTTTCTCTCCTTTTCCTGTATCTCTTCTTATCTCCCTCTCAGTTGCTGATGCTCCTTTGGGATAGCAGGTCTTTAGAAGTAGCTAGGGTCACTGTAAACGTATACAATTTTTTTTTTTTTTTTTTTGAGACAGAGTCTCACCCTGTTGCCAGGCTGGAGTGCAGTGGCGCAATCTCGGCTCACTGCAACCTCCACCTCCCGGGTTCATGCAATTTTTCTGCCTCAGCCTCCCAAGTAGCTGGGACTACGGGCACGTGCCACCACACCCAGCTAATTTTTAATATATACAATTTTTATTTGTCAACTCTACCTTAATTTTAAAAAGAAAGAAGGGAGAGAAGGGAAGGAAGAGAGGAACATATAGCCAAGGTACATTTTATCAGAGCCCCCAGGTGTAGCATTCACCTTACAAAGTAGGAACCACGGAGAATCCAAGGATGTTCTTGAGGCAAATTCTAGCCCACCGTGTTTTGTGACCTTAGCCCTTTGGTTGCATGGTGAGCATGGAGGACTCTTGTTTTTATTTGCCTGATATTTGGGTTTTGAACTTGGAAAATGAGGAAGGAAGAAGGAAGAGAGATTAGTGAATGAGACTGGCCCATCTTCTCTTAGAATCACCCAGGGAGCTTCAAGGCACTGCCATGGTTGAGAACCACTAGCGGAGCTTGCCAAGGAGACACCGCACATTTTGCAAACCCAGTTGCACGTGGTAGTAGACAAGAAAGGCAAGGGCCACCACAACCCATCAGTGATGGTGTCTCAGCTCAGGCAGCTCAGGTGTACCTCACCCAGGCCCAGGAGCCATCTATAAATGCTTACACATGCTAAAGACCATTGAGGATACAAGACAGAAACCAGAATCCGGAGAGATAATTCAGCCACCTGGGAAGAAAATGAGTGCAGCGAATGGGATTCCTATTTCAGTTGCTACGTCTGGCCAGGATGTCTTTGTTCTCTCTTTTGAGCAGTTCTCATGTCCCTAGGGCAATCTCTCATGCCCAGGTATCGTCATCAATGGAAAGAAAAGAGATGCAGAGAGTTGGGGCTGGGTTACTGAGAGACCTGGGACCATCCTGGAGCAGCGCCCATGTCTGCGTCATCTGTCACCTCTCTCGGGTGCCTGGCTCATTGCTAGCAGTGTCTCTCCTCTTACAAAATGAATGGGGGAAGGGCAGAACGTTGCTGTTTTAGGGTTCACTACAGTTTGGGCTGGTTGCTGTGACTGAGCAGCTGAGCTCCTGTGAGGAAGAGGAAGGACTGGTCAGGGGCCCTTAGAGCTCAGAGGACAGTGCAAGGCACTTCATTACGTCCCCACCATAGAGCCTTCCAGAATGTGCAGTGTCCACTTAGATGGGCTCCAGGGAACAATTGCTTCCTTATTTTCTCTCTCCTTCCTTCCTTTACACCCTTACATCCTGGCTGATCCCAGGTCTAGTCTGCCTTCATTCTTATGTCTGAGTCTGGGCCACCCATGCCTGGCTGTACCCTGGAAGGCCCATGGCTGGACCTCAGGCAGGAGCCCCCTCAGGACCCAGCCCCTCAGTTTCCAAGGCTTCCTTCATGTTGCATGATGTCAGGGATCACTGTGCCCATGCGATGGACGGGGTAGGACGGAGCAAGGAAGGGACATGGAGGAGACAGAAAGTAAAGAAGTAGAGCATCATTCCACCTCACACCCTCCCTGTGTGAAAAAGGAGAGGGCCTGGTGACAGCAGGGGGTGACATGCACCAGAGAGCCAGAGCCACCTGCGAGAGTGTCACTGAGCTCCCCGGGTGGAGCCGCAGGGGAGGGCTGAAGGCAGACCAAAATCCTCTTCTGGGAATTATTAGGAAAGTGGGTGCAATTCATGGACTTCCACAGAATTTTCCATTCTGGGAGATTCGTGGAAGAGAAGCATATGTTATTTCCATTAAAGAACATCTCCAGGGGACTTCGAGGTATTCACATTATAGATCCTTTCTTACATAGAATAAAGCCACATTAAAAAAAAATGTGCAGCAGGAGACAAACATCTTTAAAGGAACCATTTTATAGAGTGAGCCACCCCATGTGAAGGCAGTCCCCTTTTGGGCAGTGATGGGGGTGTTGAGAAGTACAAACCTCTACAGATCTTACATCCGCCAAACAGCACGCTCCCAGTACAGAGCTTTCTCCCTTTGACATCTGAGCAGTTTACGTTTGTTTGTTTTGAGACGAAGTCTTGCTCTGTTGCCCAGGCTGGAATGCAGTGGCGCGATCTCAGGTCACTGCAACCTCTGCCTCCCAGGTTCAAGCGACTCTCATGCCTCAGCCTCTCCAGTAACTGGGATTATAGGTGCCCAACACCGCATCCAACTGATTTTTGTATTTTTAGCAGAGACGGGGGTTTCACCATGTTGACCAGGCTGGTCTCAAACTCCTGACCTCAAGTGATCCACCTACCTCAGCCTCCCAAAGTGCTGGGATTACAGGCATGAGCCACCACACCTGGCTGGTTTCCATTTGTTACATCCATGCCCCCTGCATATCTCATTTCACTAAACATTGGCTCTGTTTTTGTGTCTGTGACCATTCGTTCTTCTCTTATGATTCTGAAAGTGACCTTCTGTCTCCTTCCAGTTGCTTCCCTCCCAGGAGCCCAGGGCAGATCTCTGCTCGTGTGGCTCTTCTCCCAGTTACAATCTCAGCTAAGGGGAGATTTTGTCTCTCTTTTACATAAAAATCTCCTCAAATCTACGACATGGGCAGCCTTCCACACTGCTCAAAGTGTTGTCTCTGCCAAGAGACAAACACGGAAATCGAAGGTAAACATCTAGAAAGTTTTTGGCAAATTGACACTGCTGTAACGCCCACGGAGGTGATTCTGAACATGACATGATATTGCCAGACACCAGCCCTGCTTCTGTAGTAGGGGGCCTTGGAGCTGCTAAGGCAGCATGGTGGTGACAATGACCCCCGTGACATGCAGGTGACCGCACCATAGCTCAAGATGTAGGAGACAGAATGGCCTTATGTCTTGGTTTGCCTGAGACAGTCCTCTTCATCACTATGGTCTCAGCATAATTTGATGATGATGCCCCTTTTCCACTCTTAGAAGTATCCCAGCTTGGCCGGGTGTGGTGGCTCCCAGTACTTTGGGAGGCGGAGGCAGGCAGATCACCTGAGGTCAGGAGTTCAAGACCAGCCTGGCCAACATGGTAAAACCCTGTCTCTGCTGAAAATACAAAAATTAACTGGACTTCGTGGTGCATGCCTGTAATCCCGGCTACTCGGGAGGCTGAGGCAGGAGAATCACTTGAACCCAGGAGGCGGAGGTTGCAGTGAGGTGAGATTGCACCCTTGCACTCCAGTCTGGACAACAAGAATCAAACTCCGTCTCAAAAAACAAACAAACAAACAAACAAAAAAACCCATAATTCAGCCCACCAGTGGCCTCAGGTTACTGTGTGTACAAGGTGTTTGTGGGATATTTCTGGTCTCCCACAATTTCAGCTGATGTCCAGAGTTAAAGGGCTCTAAGTAAGTACCCCACCTTCTATAAAGTGTTGCTAAGGAAAGCCCTCAATGCTAAGGCTTTGATACAAAATACCATTGATCCACCTTCCCCTCAATCTTTTTGTTTTGTTTTGTTTTGTTTTTGAGATGGAGTCTCACTCTGTCGCCAGGCTGGAATGCAGTGGCGCGATCTTTGCTCACTGCAACCTCCGCCTCCTGGATTCAAGTGATTCTCCTGCCTCAGTCTCCTGAGTAGCTGGGATTACAGGCATGCCCCACCAAGCCCAGCTAATTTCTGTATATTTAGTGGAGATGGGGTTTCACCATGTTGGCCAGGCTGGTCTCAATCTCCTGACCTCATGATCCGCCCACCTCGGTCTCCCAAAGTACTGGGATTGCAGGTGTGAGCCACCGTGCCTGGCCCCCCTCCATCTTTTTGCATCAGAAGAGACATGAAAAGGGAGAAAATGGTAGTTGTGGTCAACTGTGTGGTCAGCAGTGTTTACAGTGGCAGACTGTCTACAGAGGTGAAGAGGGGTGCCTTCTCTTCTCCCTTTGCAGAGGCCAAGTGGGGAAGGTTGAGGAGCAAGAAAGGGAGACCAGCATTTCCATTTCCCAGTTGGGTTCCCATTTGGGCACCTGCCTGTCGGGCCATCTGCCCGGTAGGAAGCACTTCCTCGATAACCGTGCAGCAGTGCCTGACCCCAATTCATGCGGCTCAACTGTGGATTTCTCTCTTTAGTATGAGGGGTACTTAGCAGAGTTGGTTTTTTTTTTTTTTTTTTTTTTTTTTTTTTTTCAGATTTGGCCTTTAACTGGCAAATTCTGGGTCAGGAAGAGCGCCCCTCAACATTTTTTGATGCTAATCCTTCCCCCCCAAATCTGCCACTGGTTACAGTAACTCAGCTTTCCCACTTGAGCAGTTTGAGGGATGCAGGGTCTGACAGGAGCCCAGAGGCCGTTCAGAGGATGGGCACCAACAGTACCCTGGCTCCAAACAGGGCAGCCAGGTGCAAGGTGGGCACAGGGCTTAGCAGGGAAGGTGGGCCGGCAAGGCCAGGTGCATGGCAGGAGTGGCGGGGAGCCTGGTGGGCTGTGGGGAGTAGAGGTAGTTCATGGCCAGCCTGGAGCTGAGAACATGGAGAAAGAACCCCAAACTCTTAATTTTTCTGTAGAACTTGGCTGGTGCTCAGGGCTGCTGGCAGCCTCAGCTGGAAATCTGTTTACCCAGAGAACGAAGCATCAGATAAGCTTTGTGGTGGAAGAGAGCCATGATTCTCAGTCTAAATGTTGAAATTAGAGGGAGAGGCAAAGAGAATCCAATGGAACTTGTGGCCGGTGAAGCTCTAGTGAGCCTGAGGCAGTGACTTGGGTCTAAGGTGAAGCCTTATTTATGGAGAAGCGATCCCAGGCGAAAACAGCTGTTGGCCAGAGTTTTGGAGAAACATGAGTTGACTCAGAATTAGGCCATGAACTTAGGTTATTATTTGCCTTTTTTCCCCTTGATTTTTTGTTTTGGGATTTATTTAAATTATGTTTGGTAGAAGGAGACTTACAAATAGGCAGATTGTTATTTTTCTTAACTTTATAGTATGAGTTCCATTAGGAGATATATATGACAAAGTGGTATTTATGAACATATTAGGGTTCTCCAGAGAAACAGAACCAATAGTATCTATTTTATATATACACACACACATATGTGTGCATATATACACATACATTTATATTGATTTTTTATTTTTTTGAGAGAGGGTCTCACTCTGTTGCCCAGGCTGGAGGGCAGTGGTACCACCACAGCTCACTGCAGCCTCGACCTCCCAGGCTCAAGTGATCCTTCCACTTCAGCCTCCCAAGTAGCTGGGACCACAGGCACGTGCCATCATGCCCAGCTAATTTTTTTATTTTTTTGTAGAGACGGAGGTCTCCCTGTGTTGTCCAGGCTGGTCTCAAACTCCTGAGCTCAAGCCATCCTCCTGCCTTGCCCTCCCAACAATTGAGATTACAGGCATGAGCCACCATGCCTGGCCTATTTCTATGTATTTATATGTGTATGTAGTATGTAGAGCTTTACTGTGAAGTATTGACCCATGCAATTATGAAGGCTAAGAGGTCCCACAATCTGCCTTCTGCAAGTAGAGACCCAGGAAAGTCAGTGGCATAGCTCAAAGGCCTGAGAGCTAGAGACCTAGTGGTGTAGATTCAAGTCCAGGTCTGAAGGTCTGAGAACCAGGAGCACTGAGGGAAGGAGGTGACCCACCCGCCAGCTTCAGCAGCCAGGTAGAGAGCAGATTCCTTCTTCCTCTGCCTTTTTGTTCTATTCAGGCCCTCTGTGGATTGGACGACGCCCAGCCATGCTGGGGAGTGCCATCTGCTTTATGAGTCCACCAAGCCAAAGGCAAGTCTCTTCCAGGAACATCCTCCCAGACACAACTAGAAGTAATGTCTAACCAGCTCTCTGGGTGCCCCGTGGTCAGCTTGACACATACAATTCCCCATCACAGTGAATCATGGATTGGGAGCTGTGCTTTGCTGGTGAAGCAGCTCTCCATGGGGAACAATAAGCCCCGATTTGTAACACTTGCTGGCCTTAGTGGTATAAAAGCTCCCACTTCCACTCATTTCAAGCTCTCCCGTGAAGTCACTGAGCAGGGAGTGGGAGGAGATAACACACGATCACCTCTCACAAGCCAGTCCAAGCTGGCTCCAACACCCCACAGTGGGGACCAGACATCTGAGAACAAACAAAATGTTTAGGCTCACAGTTTTCACTACTCCCTTAGAGTCGGGTGGGAGGACAAATTCTGGGATTCTATATTTTCGTGGTAGGTGTTTTATTTTATTTTTATTTATTTTATTTTTTGCTTTTTGGGTTTTTTGTTTTTTGTTTTGTTTTTTGAGATGTAGTCTCACTCTGTTGCCCAGGCTGGAGGGCAGTGATGCAATCTCTGCTCACTGCAACCTCCACCTCCCGAGTTCAAGCAATTCTCCTGCCTCAGCCTCCCAAGCAGCTGGGATTACAAGCGTATGCCACCACGTTCAGCTGATTTTTGTAATTTTTTTAGTAGAGACGGGGTTTCGCCATGTTGGCCAGACTGGTCTCAAAATCCTGACCTCAGGTGATCCACCCACCTCGGCCTCCCAAACTGCTGGGATGACAGGTGTGTGCCACCGTGCCTGGCCATATTTATTTATTTTTTGAGACAAGGTTTTCCTGGTTCACCCAGGCTGGAGTGCAGTGCCCTGATTGTGGCTCATTGTGAGGCAGGAGAAAAAGGCCTGGAGGCAGGGAACTTAAGGCCAGCCAACCCGTGGTGACTTTCTGAACTAAATCAAACTGAAAGCACTTCAGCAATGACAGGAATATGAATGGCTTTGTAACTTCACTTCATCCTCTCCATTTACATAGACCACACACACCAAGTAATATCCTCTCCATTTACAATAGGGTGCCTTCTGAATAAATGACTCTGTAACTTTACTTCATTCTTGGTTACAGCCAAGTAACCAATGGGAAGCCTCTAAAGTGTTGAAACTCCAACAAGTTCTGTAACCGGGGGTCTTGAGCCCCTATACTTGGGCCACTCCCACTCAGTGGAATGTACTTTCGTTCTCAATAAATCCTTGTGCATTTTGTCCAATTCTTTGTTAGAGATGCCGAGTACCTGGACACCTTCTGCCGGTTACAACTTCAACCTCCGCCTCCTGGGTTCAAGCGATTCTTCTGCCTCCGCCTTTTGAGTAGCTGGGATTACAGGTGCGCGCTACCACATCCAGCTAATTTTTGTAATTTTAGTAGAGCCAGGGTTTCACCATGTTGCCCAGGCTGGTCTCGAACTCCTGGCCTCAAGAGATCTACCTGCCTTGGCCTCCCAAAGTGCTGGAATGACAGGTGTGAGTCACTGTGCCCAGCCAGTGTTTTAGAATTTTTTTTTAACATCTACCTACTATCTCTCTCTGGTTCTAATAGTAATTTCTTTCCCAACCGTCTAGGGCGTTGGAGAATTCAATCCCATCTGTCATGTGGAAATTTACATCAATCTAACATTACTCAAGCTGGAAAGGATCTTATCGAGTCTTCTACTTCAACCCATTCATTTCAAGATGTGGAAACTAAGGCTCAAAGAGATAAAGTGACTTGTCCAAGATCCCAGGTAAAGTTTCCAAAGAAATCAGAACTAACATCTAGTTCTTCTGATATGTATGTGTGTGTGTGTGTGTGTGTGTGTGTGTGTGTGTGTGTTTCTACTGCAATTTGCTGTTCCTCAAAGATGTAGCTGTCAAAGATAGAAACAGGGGCCCTGCCTCTGAACAATACATAAGAGGGAGCCCATGTATTGTTCTGGATGGGTTAGAAGTGGACATCAGCCACCAATGTACAGTACATTATTACCCCTCTTTACTTTGCTACGGTACAAGGAGTAGCAGCCTGGGAGGAAGACCATAAACCTATAGCATTTGCCTCGAAATCAGATTGAAGAAACCCTGACAGAACTCAACTCTGGAGCCCCAGGTATGCGTTCCTTGGATCCAAGGAATATCATGCCTTCCACCAAGCTCTGTAAGAGGCAGAATTGCATGGCACTTTGTAAATTGATTGGGGATTTTTGTTTGTTTGTTTTTTGGGAGCTAGAGGTGGTAGCAGAGTCAGCTGCAACAAGATGGTGGTGAAAAATAGCAAGTATGTGGGGAAAAAAGGAAGCTGCACATTTCCTTCCAAAATGCAGAGGGTGCCTTGGCCCTAAAGTCACCAGGGGGAGAGAGAACACCTCTCCCTGGCAATTGATTTTGAGTCAAAGTACAAAACAATTGAAAGACAAGAGGCAACAACTGGTCATTGTTTGAATCTACAATCATTCAAGTGAAGTTTTGTCTCCACTGCATTTTTACATAATGCTAAGAAAGGCTAGGATCATCAAAGATGGAAACTAAATGATCTCACTCAGGATAGCCTCCTCACTGTTCTTTACAACACCAGCAGCATTCTTGCCCCTCACTAGTGCTTACCCTGAGAAGCAACCATTTTCCATCCTTGATATTCAGCTCAGTGCAGCCCTGACAACCTCTGAGGGCTGGAGTCGATTTTGTTGGACCTTCTTGAGAACTATTGACTGAGGAGTATGGGAGCCTCTGTGGACTGTGTGCGGTTCATGTTAACTTCTACAGTTGGTTATAATGGAGTCAGTCTAGTTTTTTCATATCTAAATTGATTTCATTATTTTATATTCTCAAGTGAAGAATGAAGTTTAGGTAAAAGCAAGTTCTGGCTACATGTCAAACTCAATCATCAGCCTTTCTTCTCCTCAAGGCTCCTTTCTTTCCCATGCATATGGTGAAGATGCATATATTAGTTTCAGTCTTTCCCGAGTGGCCTGTCAGCTGTGCTCCTGGAGTCTGTGGGCTCTCTCATCCCTCTGGGATCCCACTTTACTGCCAGCTGGGTGCTAACACACCCTTTGATAGGATGGCATTCCCTGTCCCTGGTTCCAGTGGGGAGATGTGACTGCATTAGTAATTAAAAACTTAACTTGAATTAAAGTTTCCTTTTTAGTTTAATGTAGTTTGAATTAGGTTTTCTAACATCTGGAACCAAAGAATCCTGACTGAGTTCACGTCACTGCTATATATATTTAGCTTGTTTCTATCAACCTGGCAGGTATCTATTTCTCACATGTGACACACTCAATGTAATTTTTTTCTTTTCATGCCCTAAGTGAGCTCTATGTGGATTTTTCCATGTTTCCACCTGTTCCCTAGTGCCTGCTACTAAAGGGTATGGATAATTAAATGAAATTTCATTGTAGGGGGTGAGATGCATTTTATAGTAATGTGCTATGACTTTCCCCAGTATCCAAGAGAAAATCATTTAAGAAGTGAAGCCTTCCCAGTAGATCCACTCAATGGCATATTCCAGTTCCTACCCATTTTCCAAAGTGCTTCATCCCTACAATCTTCCAACACCATGTGGACTCTCTACCCACCTAAAGTGTATCCTGAAGTGCCTCAGCCCCTAGAGAGAGCTCCCCAAATAGTTGCTCTTATTAATGTGATACTCTGCAATTAGCTCGATGGCTTTGGAAGCAGACAGCTCAAGGTTCACAAACCTAGCTCCATCACTTACTAGTTATATGAATGAGGAGGAAGTTAGGCTTTCTGACCTTTATTTTCCTCATCTGTAAAATGGGGCTCCATTTTTTATTGTAAAATACTTGCTCCAGGCCAGTTGTGAAGATTCAATAAGACAATAAAGGAAAAAATAAAACAACAAAAAAAACCCCCAGAACCTGGTGCAGACTAAATTATAGCCCAGGGCCTCACACTGGTGGGGACCCCTCCACATGGGTCAAAGCCATTAGGTATAGTTCTGTATTCATTTGAATGGTGTCAGCCAGTCAGAGTGCACCTTGTCATGGTGCTGAACATCTTTTTAATAGCATGGGATTTAAACCATGCTGACCTTATTCTAGCCTTCAGTTTCTTCCCTCACAGCACCCTTTTAAGGAAAGAACAACTTGGCAGTATCAAATAAGACCAGCTGCCCTAAATTAAGATTTTAAACATTTAGTTTAGTTCTAGTTTGAAAAGAACCAAATGTCTCCCAAAAGCTCTCTGATGTCTGGAGAAGTATTTTTATTTAGAAAGGGCACCATTTTGTTCTTTAAATGCCTTGAGGTTGGCTATTCATAAGACATTGCATTTTTAAATTAAATAATTAAAATCTAAGCTCTATTCCAATTGCTCCTGATATGGTTTGGCTCTGTGTCCCCACCCTAATCTTATCTTGAATTGTACTCCCATAATTCCCACATGTTGTGGTAGTGACCTGGTGGGAGATAATTTGAATCATGGGGGCGGTTTCCCCTATACTGTTTTCGTGGTAGTGAATAAGTCTCATGAGATTTGATGATTTTATCAGGGGTTTTTCTTTTGCATCTTCCTCATTTTTCTCTTGCCACTGCCATGTAAGAAGTGCTTTTCACCTCCCACTATGATTCCGAGGCCTCCCCAGCCATGTGGAACTGTAAGTCCAATTAAACCTCTCTTTCTTCCCAGTCTCGGGTATATCTTTATCAGCAGCAAGAAAAGAGACTAATACAGCTCCCTACAATTCCTCTTTAAGATGTGGTTTTCCCTGGGATGTCAAGCTCAGTTCTACTGAGGAAAACACATCTCCTGGGAGAAGAAATGGGATTTTAGGGATGTGCTCTTTCCACTTCTGCTATATTGTCTGTGCTTTTAGGGATAATTAGATCAATAAAAGACATAGCTAGCTGGGTGTGATGGCTCATGCCTATAACCCCAGCACTTTAGAAGGCCAAGATGGGAGGACTGCTTTGAGCCCAGGAGTTCTGGACCAGTCTGGGCACTATAGTGAGACCCTGTCTCTACCCAAAAAAAAAAAGAAAAAAAAATAGCCAGGTGTGATGTTGCATGCCCATGGTCCCAGCTACTTGGGAGGCTGAGGCAGGAGGATCACTTGAGCCTGGGAGGTCCAGGTTGCAGTGAACTATGATTGTACCACAGCACTCCAGCCTGAACAAAAGAGACCCTGTCTCAAAACAAAACAAACAAAAGAAAAACATATTGTTTTTTGACTCTTGGGTGAAGGCCTATAAGTTAGAAACTTCTGTCCATCTAGGTTCATTGGAATTGTCTTGCAGAAATGATAGCTTGTAGAGAGCATGAAGAGGGGTGAAGGAGATTGATGAGTTTGGAGTCAGCAAATGAGGCTCAAGTGACCTGAAGACCCTTACTGGGAGGGTCCCCATATGAAATCAATGCTAGTCACCATGGGCCAATCTCCCACTAATGGTCAAGCATGTGGGAAGTTCTTACCATTCATGACCTCATGGACCCTGATGCTTTTAGTTCCATTTCACAGATCCATTCCAGGGCTGTCTGACCTGAAAGCCTTGCCCTTGCGATTGCTCTAGCCAACCTTTCTAGGACTGAGATGAGACAACTACAGTGCAGGTCTACTCGGAAAGTCGCCACTTCTGCAAAGAAAGATCTCACATCTTCCCATATCACTCTGTACATCATCTGATGGCTTCGGTAAACAGGGAGGAAGCTTTGGGTAATGGAATGAGCAAACCCTCAAGGCCCTGGGGGCAAGTCTCAGCTCTGCAATTTACTAGTTGCATGACCTTGTGATGATAATAGCTGAATGAACTGAACTGCGTACTCCCAGAATTTTTATTTTGAAGCCCTACCCCCAATGTGATGATACGAGATGGAGACTTTGGCAGGTAATTAGAGTCAAATGAGATATAAAGGTAGGTGCTAATATAATGGCATTGGTGTCATTGTAAGAGGAGGAGAAGATACCAGAGAGTTTGCTCTCTCTGCCCAGGCAGAGGGAAATGCCATGTGGGTGCATAAGGAGAAGATTGCTGTCTACAAGCCAGAAAGGGAGCCCTCACCAGATCGAATCTTCCAGCATGTTGATCTGGACTTCCAGCCTCCAGGACTGTGAGAAAATGAATTTCTGTTGTTGAAGCCACTCGGTCTGTGGTATTTTGTAATAGCAGCCCAAGTAGACTCATACAATGGTGAATACCATTCTAAGCACTTTAGAGACATCAACTATTCTAATGTATAACTACGACGAAGATATTATCACCTGTATATTACAAACGAGAAGCCAAAAGCTTAGAGAGGCCATATGCCTTAGGGGTGAAAAGTTGTTCAAGTAATACACAAAAAATATGAGCACCAGCAGAAGGAGATCAGGAGTTGCCCAGTGCCAAGGATGACAGAGATTGAATGCAAAGGGGAACAAGGAAAGTTTTGGGGTGGTGGAAATATTCTGTATCTCATTTTATATCTTGGTGGTGTCACATGGGTGTATATATTTGTCAAAACTTACTGAGCTAGGCAGTTAAAATGGTTATATTTTATTGTATGTAATTTATGACCCAAAGATGATTGAAAATTAAAAAAAAGTGGTCGCAGCCAAAAAGAAAGATAGGAACTAGAGTTAGAACATTTGTGTCTGAACTGAATTCCAGCTCCACCACGTATTATTTATGTGCTTTTGATCAAGTTACTTAATCTCTCTGGGTCTCTCAGCCTTCAGTTCTTCATCTCTTAAATGGTAGTAATGTTTTCTCAATATATATTTTAAGACTGTTATGAAAGTATTTCATACTGTCTTTTATTCATGTATGCATTCATCCAACAAGCATATAATGAGCACATTCTGTGAGTCAGGCACTGTTGTTGGTAGGCAGGGCAGATGCACCATTCTGGGAAGTAGAGCAGGAAACCAAACAGAAGGGGGACAGGAGGCCAAGGTGGAGGAATTGCTTGAGGCTAGGAGTTCGAGACCAGCCTGGGCAACAAAGTGAGACCCTGTCTCTATTAACACACACACACACACACACACACACACACACACACACACGTTTGTATGTATATACATAAAACAGACAGGGACTCTGTGCCCATGGAACTAATTTTCTTTTTTCTAAAGAAGGGATTTATTAGCTTTTTTTTTTCTTTTAAAAAAAACAACTTTTATTTTAGGTTCAGGGGTACATGTGTAGGTTTGTTATATTGGTAAACTCTTGCCACAAGGGTTTGTTGAACATATTATTTCATCCCCCAGGTACTAAGCCTTGTACCCAATAGTTATTTTTTCTATTTCTCTCCCTCCTCCTACTTCCACCCTTTGGTAGGCCCCTGTCCCTATTGTTCCCCTCTGTGTATCCATGTGTTTTCATTATTTAGCTTCTACTTATAAGTGAGAATATGCAGTATTGGGTTTTCTGTTTCTGTGTTAGTTTGCTAAAGATAATGGCCTCCAGCTGCACCCATGTTCCTGCAAAGGACATGATATAGTTCTTTTTATGGCTGCATAGTATTCCATGGAACTAATTTTCTAAAAAAGGAGAGGAAAGGCCATAGACAAGTAAAACAACAAGTGCAGGTAGAAATACATGCTATGAATGAAATTAAACAAAGTAATGTCATTACCTAGGGAATATATTGGAGAGAATGCACAGGGAAAGGCTTCCTGAACCTTCAGGGGTGTCTGAACCAAGTTTTAAAGAAGGAAGAGGAGATCGTGCAACGATCTGAAGGAATGGGTCTCCAGGCAGAAGGAATAAGAAGTGCAAAGGCTGGAATGAGCTTGGGCAGTCAAGGAATAGAAAGTCCGGTATGACTGGAGAGGAGTGAGCCAGGCTGAGGGTTAAGGAACAGGAAGAATAGCTCAAAGTGGGTTTGTGGCGAGCCTGGATCAAAGGCTATGTTGTGGAAAATTATTCATGGTGGGGACAACGGTGGAAGCCAGCAAATTTGTAGGATGTCATGACACTAGCACAGGCACCGGGGGCTTGGACCAGGCTGGTGGTCTTAGAGAAGGAGCAAAGCGCGTGGACTCTGGATACACGCTGGCGATTGGGTCAACAGGGCAGGCTGCTGTATTGAGGGAGGGGAATGAGAAAGTAAAGACTCAAGAATGGCTCTGAGTGATTTTAACTTCTGCAGCTGGGTAGATGTTGGTGCCCTCTGCCGAGGGAAGGAAGTGTGAAGCAGGAAGCCTGGAGCTCTGGTTTTGACTTGCTAAATTAGACATGCCTGTTAGACAACCATGTGGAGATGGCAGGTCTGCAACTGGATATGAATCTGGAGCTCAGAGGCAAGGTCAAGGCTAAAGATGTAAGGAAATGCCCAGAGCAACGTACAGCGTTTTGTTGTTACCTCTCCTTGCATTCACTGCAGGAATGACCACTTCCTCCTGTCACCTTCTAAAGTATATTTCATTCTCCCTAGATGCCTACAGGGGTGGGGGCAAGGGAGTGGGAGCTCAAGTGTGAGGGCAGGAAAGGGAGGCGAGCACAGAGATGGTCCTCATGGTTCTCAGTAGACATGAGACACGATAGCCAGTCACTGCACTCCAGTGAGTAGTCCGTTTCCTGAGGGATCATATATATTTGCAGGCTCCCTGTAAGGAGACAAGGTCCAGCTCTGTCACCCAGGCTCAAGCACAATGGGGCAATCATGACTCACTGCAGTCTTGACCTTCTGGACTCAAGCGATTCCCCTGCCTCAGCCTCCCAAGTAGCTGGGACCGAGTCACGTGGTGCATGCCACCATGCCTGGCTAATTTTTGTATTTTTTGAATAATCAGGGTCTTGCTATGTTGCCCAGGCTGGTCCTGACCTCCTGGGCTCAAGCAATCTGCCCACCATGGCCTCTCAAAGTGCTGGGATTACAGGTATGAGCCACCACGCCTGGCCAGTCCTTCTCATTTTAAAGACTACCTTCTGGCTGGGCATGCTGGCTCATGCCTGTAATCCCAGCATTTTGGGAGGCCAAGGCAGGCGGATCACTTGAGATCAAGAGATTGAGACCATCCTGACCAACATGGTGAAACCCCGTCTCTACTAAAAATATAAAAAATTGGCCTGGCACGGTGGCTCACACCTGTAATCCCAGCACTTTGGGAGGCCGAGGTGGGCAGATCACGAGGTCAGGAGTTTGAGACCAGCCTGGACAACATGGTGAAACCCCGTCGCTACTAAAAATACAAAAATTAACTGGGCATGGTGGCAGGTGCCTGTAATCCCAGCTACTCAGGAGGCTGAGGCAGGAGAATCACTTGAAATCAGAAGGCAGAGGTTACAGTGAGCTGAGATGGTGCTATTGCACTCCAGCCTGGGCAACAGAGCAAGACTCCATCTCAAAAAAATAAATTAATTAATTTAAAAAACCCAAAAATTAGCCAGGTGTGGTGGGGTGCACCTGTAGTCCCAGCTACTTGGGAGGCTGAGGCAGGAGGATCACTTGAACCTGGGAGGCGGAGGTTGCAGCGAGCTGAGATTGCACCGTCCCGCTCCGGCCTGGCGACAGAGTGAGACTCCATCTCAAAAAGCAAGCAAACAAACAAACAAAACAAAAAGACTACTTTCTAAGAAGCACTTTCTCGACCATCCTATCTAAAATGGGTCTTCTCCCTTAGCTTCCACTCCCATGGCAGCATTTCTTCAGCCAGCACAATGTTGGTTTCACTGAAAGCAGTCGTTTGTAATGATAATGACTAGTACTAGTTCAAGTTCATTGTCTCTCTCCACCATTGGAGAGAGAGTTTGACTCTATGTTGGAAGGAGGTGTGCCTGTTGTGGCGATCCTTGTCAGCCAGAGCTAGCACAGTGCCTGGCACACCCTAGGTGCTCAATAAATATCTGTTGAAGAACTTAATGAGCTATCTCTGAGATATCATGGTTCAGAGTGGATTAATTGAAGCTCCAAGCATGGGCTGAGGCAGCCTTATTCCAGATCAAGCCCTTAGCCCAAGGCCAGAAATGGGTTTTTAAAGATGGCATAGGGAGCAATTATCAGGGAGTGTGGAGGCAAACAACATGGCAAATTTCCAAGCCCTGCCAGCCACTGGGCACCGTTTGCATTCATCACTGAGCACCATGGCATATGCAAGCTTGTTAGCAGGATCATGGGCCAGAGATGGATGGATCCACTCCAGCCTCCTGCTAAGCTCCTGAAACAAAAGATTTTTCTAAGTGTTTTGAGTTGTTCTCATGAGATGTCATGGCCAGCAAGCTGGAAAACTGTGTGGCTCTTTGCCAGTTGCCTGGTTTTAAATCTGGTCTTCCATGGAAAATGAAATTGAGAAAGAATTTAAGATTTCTAATTGGGATCTGTCCCCTGGAGGGGAGATGGCTATTTTTATGTTCCAACCCAACACACTGGAGAGATCTGGGAATGCAGCCTGTATCCAACTTCTTGTTTTTTTTAAGACTGAGTCTCTGTTGCCCAGGCTGGAGTGCAGTGGCATAATCTCGGCTCACTGCAACCTCCGCCTCCCGGGTTCAAGCGATTCTCATGCCTCAACGTCCCAAGTAGCTGGGATTACAGGCATGCTTTACCACACCCAGCTAGTTTTTGTATTTTTAGTACAGATGGGGTTTCTCCATGTTGGCCAGGCTGGTCTCAAACTCCTGACCTCAAGTGATTCACCAGCCTCGGCCTCCCAAAGTGCTGGGATTACAGGCATGAGCCACTGCGAGAGAGACTGGAATGAGAAGCTAAGCACTAGCTGTCCTCCAAAGAGGAAGCCAGAAGCATCATCCAGGTCTCAGCTTCTCAGCAAGGTTTATCCTCCAAATCTATTCAGAGATAGGAAGAAGGGAGTCAGTGGGTCCAGATAAGAAAGTAGGGCTGGGCATGGTGGCTCACACCTCTAATCCCAGCACGTTGGGAGGCCAAGGCAGGAGGGCCACTTGAACCCAGGAGTTCAAAATCAGCCGGAGCAACAAAGTGAGACCCCATCTGTACAAAAAGTAAAAAAATTAGCTGGGCCTGGTGGCCCATTGCTGTGGTCCCAGTCACTCATGTGGAGGAGGTGGGAGAATCACTTGAACCCAGGAGGTCGAGGCTGCAGTGAGCTGAGATTGTGCCACTGCACTCCAGCCTGGGCAACAGAGTGAGATCCTGTCAAAGGGAGGGGAGGGGAGGGGAGGATTCAGACATTTGTTATCTTGAAATAAGAGCCTCTTTCTATGCTGAAGAGTATTAATTTACGCATGTGAATTACCCAATAGGGAGGCATGAAGGCAAAGGAAAAACCTACACACGATTTCCATCACTGAAGAAGAGGGCAGAGTTCATGAGTTAAGAGAAATCGTGATGAATGCAGGGAGATGCTAGAATTTGTTTCTCTTTTGAAATATTGTATATGCCTCTTAGTGAGGGAAAAACTGTCTCTCCCTCACTAAATAGTGTGATAAAGGGCTAGAAGGATCTGCATGTATCAATCACAGTATTTTGGGAGAAAAGGAGGAGTTAAATGTTTGTAGCCCAAGGAAACAGAAAAGCCCCAAACCTCAATGATATTTGATTATTTAAGAGCTGGAAAACGATGTGTATGACACACCACTCAGGCTTGTTGGCATTTGGTGTCTGGCACCAAAATGGTCAGGGTGAGTTGAGGATCGGGCCCCTTCCTCAGAGATGTAGAACGGTTCTTTGTGAAATGCTGTCTGGTTACTTTCTGGGTGCTCTGATTTGTGGGTGATAATGTTCCCTTTTCCTGCCACCATCCAATCCTTGAAAGTCCCACTGTAAAAGGAAAATGAAAAAGAGACCAATGGCATGGGTTGAAAAAGTGCAGCTGCAACCGATGGGATTTTTAAAGCAGAAACAGGTTCTGTGTGATGCAAGTGAGCACTGTAGGAGAATCCTACCATTCTTTCATATGCTTCCTGAGCCGAAAGCTTTCCCACTCTTCACGTTCCCCACCCCAATCTGGGTCCCTGCTCTGTGCCAGGGGGGCCATCAGCCACAGTGTGGAGGTGAGGAAGGGCTGCGGGAGCCCTGGCCCTTGCTTGCTGGGGTTCAGGGTGGGATGGAAATTCTACACTGATGCCAGGACAAATATTCTACTCATCATCACTGATGCTCATGGTCAAAACAAGAAAAAATTGTGGAAAAAAAAATCATTTCTCTCAACATGATGTGTTGCTTTCCTCTCTGAAGTCCCCCCTGGTGAATAGTTCTTGGCATCAGGCATGCTGGGTGGATCTGAAAGGTCTGTGCCTCTGGGACACAGACAGGGCTACCTGGATGGACGCTGGGGAGGCCAGGCCAGCCCCTCCTTTCAGCTGATGCTTAGAAAAACTTTCCACGTGGCCTTGGGTTGGGTAACTCAGAGATCTGCAGCAGCCTGCTTCTTCCAAACTAAACACTCAGGTCTGAGTTGTTAAGTCCAACTAAA